>NC_000006.12:11272121-11423636 GCF_000001405.40 Homo sapiens | reverse complement strand
GACCCCCACCCCCACCAATCTGGAAACCATTCGGAGACTCCCTGGAGGAAAGGGCTATGGACCTCTGTGATTGCTGATATTGTTTTCACTAAATATGACATGATTGGGAATTACCAGGGAAAACCACTACCAATAAAAGGATGGGTTTCAAAAGATGTGACGAATGAGCATTTCTAAAGATTTGCCACAAAATCTAGTTGATCAACTATCAATGTTTCTAAGCCATATAAATAAGCAGTTTTGTAAAGTAGTATGATTCGAAACTTTGAGATGGTCCTATGCTTTAGAAAACAAGTGACTTAATAATGAAACAATGTGTTTTGAGAGCATTACTTTCTCCAGAAGTAGCAAGGTTTGTTAACACCCACACAGATGACACACATAGATGACAGGGAGTTCTTGCATCCAAACAGATCTACCTAGCTGCCTGAGACACTTGGGATGTCAGACTGTAAACAGTGTATCAAAATCTTAATGAAAACATTCAGTAAAACCAAATATCCTTTGTCTGCAGTAGGGGGAGGCTTTGAAAATGAACCTCAACTGAAAATAATTTTATACACACCCACAAAATTCCGTCATGTTTTACACTGCTGACTCCCTTCTAACTCCTTCCAGCCTTTCCAAGTGTTTTTTTGGTAGTAAATACAATTTAAATATATAATTAACTTAGTAAGTAATTAATGTAATGATTATTTCAAATCTTATATTCTCATTTCATGTCACCTGGGTAAAACTAAAACTTGATTTTACAGAAACCAGTTTTTCAGAATTGATAATATCAATGGTCTTGTTTCTATTATAAATTTGTACACATAAGACTTCACAATCTTTCCCTGCTTCAAAGAGAGAAGTTAAGGTGAGTTCTTCAAATATATTAGCATTGTAATTATAATATAGAGGAAGACACAGCTTTTGAGGCCATTTAAATTTTGCTCTGTATGTCTTAATTACTTAATGAAATTCTGGGAACAAAATGGTGCAATAAAACCCAAAGTGGTGGTAGTGATTTAATTTACTATCATTTTATAAACTCTCCTAAATCTGTACAATCTAATTTGAAAGCTACTAGCCACATGTACCTGTGAAGCATTTGAAGTGCGGCTGCTATGAATTGAAACTTGCTGTAAGTGTAAAATGCACACCAGATTTCAAACACTTACTATAAAAAAATCAAAAACACCTTACTAATTTTCATATGAATTACATTTTGGAATAATATGTTGAACATATTGGGTTAAATAAAATCTATTGTTAAAGTTAATTTTACCTTTTTTATATTTTTAGTATAGCTACTAGAAAATTTAAAAGTACATATGTGGCTGGCATTATATTTCTATTGGACAAGGCTGCTCTAAAGCTTAAGAAAGCACAAAATGTTTTTGACGTAAAGCATTATTTTGTCTGATACAAGCATGGCTACCCTCCAGCTCTCTTTTGGTTTCCATTTGCATTAAATATCTTTTTTATCTTTTTCTATCCCTTCACTTTCAGTCTATGTCTGTCCTTAAAGGTCAAGTTAGTTTATTGTAGGCAGCATACAATTCAGTCTTATTTCTTTGCCCATTAACCACTCTCCTATCATTTGATAGGAGAATTTAATCCATTTACATTCAAGATAATTACTGATAGGCAAGGACTTACTACTGTCATTTTGTCGATTATTTCTGGTTGTTAATGTAATAATCTTTTGTTCTTTTCTTCCTGTCTTGCTGTCTTCCTTTGTGATTAGATTATTTTTCTCTAGTAGTATTTTTGATTTCTTACATTTTATCTTTTGTGTATCTACTATAGGTTTTTGCTTTGTGGTCACCATGAGGCTCACATATAACATCTTTTAGTTTTAATAGGCTATTTTAAGCTGATAACAACTTCATTTTGATTTCAAACAATAGCACCACACTTTTGCTCCACCCTTCTCCATTTAATGTTTTTGATGTGACAATTTACGTCTTTTTATATTGCATATTACTTAAATTATTGTAACCATTATTTTTAATAGTTTTGTCTTTTAACTTCATACAAAAGATATGTGATTTACATACCAGCACTACAGTATTAGAGTATTCTGAATTTTACTGTATTTTTTTTACCAGTGACTTTTATACATTAAAATGTTTTTCTGTCACTAGTGTTCTTTTCTTTCAGTTTGAAGAGCTCCTTTTAGCGTTTCTTATAAGATAGTTCTTGTGGTGACAAACTCCCTCAGTTTTTGTTTGTCTGGGAAAGTTTTTATATCTCTGTCATTTCTGAAGGCTAGCTGTGCAGGGTACAGTATTCTTGATTGGCAGCTTTTTTTTTCCTTCAGCACTTGGAATATATTATGCCACCCTCTTCTGACCTATAAGATTTCTAGTAAGAAATTTGCTGCTAGCCTTACTGAAATGCCCTATGTGATTTTTTTTTTTTCTCTTGCTGCTTTCAGGATCCTGTCTTTGATTTTTGACAATTTTATTATGTTTTGCTGTAGTCTTGTTTAGGTAGAATTGAATTAGAGAACTTTTGACCTTCCCATACTTGGATATTTACCTTTTTCTCCAGGTTTGGAAAGTTTTCTGCTATAAACTTTGCTTTAAATAAACTTTCTACCCCTTTGTCTTTTCTCCTTCTTGAACTCCTAAAACTTAAATATTTGCTCTTTTGATGCTGTCCCAAAAATCTCATAAGCTTTCTTCATTCCTTTTCATTGCATTTTATCCTCTGTGTATTTTAAAGTAATCTGTCTTTGATTTTGCTTGATCAATTCTGAGTCTTTCTTCTGCTTGATCAATTCTGCTGTTGACTTTTTTTTTTGCATTTTTAATTTCATTCTTTTTTCAACTAAAGAATCTATGTTTGATATTTTTTAAATGATTTTAATCTCTTATGTTGGTCATTTATTGTTCTCCTGATTTTTGTTCTGTTTTCTTGAAGTCTGTTAAACTTCCTTAAGACCATTATTTGGAATTCTTTGTCACCCATTTCATACATCTCCATTTCTTTAAGGTTGGTTACTGGTGCTTTACTTAGTTCTTTAGGTGGTGACATTTCCCTGATTGTTTTTGATCCTTGTGGTTGTACATTGGTGTCTGTGCATTTGGAGAAGTAGGTTATCTCCTACTTATTCTTTGCAGACTGGCTTTGTCTGGGAAATCCCTTCACCAGTCAGTCCCCTCAGAGATTCTAGGAATGCCATCTGTCATGGTCCACAGGTAGGCTTGCTTTTGGAATCCTTGGGCAAGCTGGCCTGGTACCTGGATCAGCAGGTAGGTGGGCCTAATGCCTGGGTCCAGGTTAGGTCTGGAGCCTGTAGCCAATGTAATATACCTGTTGACTGAGTCTGAGAGGATGTACTTGTAGCCTGGATCTGCAAGGGTGGGCCTGCAGCCTGTATCTGTGGGGTCCTGACTTGAAGCCTGGGTCCCCTGTGGCTGACCTGGCACTGGGGTAGACCTTGAGCCTGAGTATGGAGGGGCCATCCAAGTGCTGGGATGAGCCTGGTGCCTGAGACCACTAGAACCTGAGTCCACAGGGTCTGGCCTAGTGCTGGGGCAAGACTGGAGCCTCAGTCCATGTGAACAAACCTGGATCCTGGGCCTATGGGAGCTGTTTTGGAGCCTGGATCTGTAGTGTATCCTGGAACCTGGGTTTGCTGGAGCAGACCCAGGGGACCAGCTTGGAGCCTGGAGCTGGCTGGCCATGTGCTGGGGCAGGTATAGAGCCTGGAATTGCAGTTATTGGCCTGTGCCTGGAGCCACAGGATCTGGTCTGGAGTCTGAGGTTGTGGGAACCAGCCAGCACTGAGGTTTACTGAATGAGTCTGGACCCTGTGTCTGATGGAGTATGGAGCTGCATAGGCCAGCCTAGAGGGTGGAGTTTCAGAGACCAGCCTGACACTGGGCAAGCCTGGAACCTGTGTCCATGGGTGCTGGCCTGGCACTTGGGGCCAGACGTGTCAATCTGGTGTTGAGGTGGGCTTGAAGCCTGGAGCTGTGTGGACCAACGTGGCTCTGAGCTAACCTGGAACCTCAAGCTGGCCTGGTGTTGAGTGGGCCTGAAACCTGGGACTATGGGACTGGCGAGTCCTGGTTCTAGGGAAGGCCTGGAGACTCAGTCTATGAGGGCTGGCCTGGCTCTGGGGCAGACCCAAACCTTGGGGCCACTGGGGCCACTGACACTGGGACCAATCTAGAGCCTGCGACTGTTAGAGTAAGCCTGGTGGTAGAGCAGGGCCAAGGATCAAGTTCACCGAACAGCCTGGAGCTTGAGGCTGCAGGATCTTGCTGGTATTGAGGCAGGAATGGAGACTCCATCCTCAGGTACCAGCTTAAAGTCTGGGGCTGTCGGACCTGCCCAGTACTGGGTTTTACTGGTGTAGGCCTGGTGTTGGGGTTCAAGACAAAGTCCAGTGCTCACTCCCCTCTCCTTTCTTCAAGCAGAGGGTATTTCTCTCTATGCTGTGTTGCCTGGTGTTGGGGGATGGATGATGCAGGTAATGTAAAACTGTCCTTCCTACTCTCTTCAACGAGTCTTTTCTTATTTCTGTGCTACACACAGAATAGGTGCTGTTATCTGTCACCTGGTTTTCTTAGCTTTTGTGAAGGTATTTTTGTGCGTGGATAGTTATTCAGATTGAAGTTTCTATTTGGGGACAAGTATTGCAAAGTCTTATTCCACCATCTTGCTAACATCTCAACAAAGAAAGTGTTTAATTCAGTTGGCCCCAAGGAATTTTAAAGGAATTTGTATGTTATATTTACAGAAGACTCATCTAAGGAGGCATCAAGATTATATTAGTAAGTACATGCCTTATATACCCAACTCTGCTTCAAACAAGAACAATGACAGGAAAATACGAATAAGTAAAATGATATAAGCAGGTTTAAAGCAAGACAAAAATTTCTATGAACCACACCAGGCACCTGGACCGGAAAACAAGGCAGTCAGTAGTGTATACACAAATCTCTGGGCCTACTTCTGGGGCAGGAAGCAAGCAAAGACATCTGGGAATTTGGCTCATCTGAAGTAATGGTAATTAAAATTACTCTACATAAAATGGCAACAGGAATCAAGCCAGAGATTGGGATAGAAATCCCCCTAATTTAAACAAGGAAACAGAAAAGTCTTGGGAAGTTTCTGCTAATTGTTTCCTGGGAATATTGCCTCCTTGGTAGGAAATAAAACAGCCTCATTTCCAGGATCTGAAACTGACTGCTGGTTCTATGACCAAATTGGCCATAAGCCTTAGTCTTTGATATCATAATCTTTGAGGTCATAATCCTTAAATTATATGAAGTTCAAATCTGCAACATAAGACATGTTTTGGTTAAGGAGCCCCAGGAAGCTAGGTGGAGGCTATCACAAAACTAGAGAGGAAAGAGTAGGAGAGAAGAAAAACAAAAACCAAAAAGGCTTAACTGTTTCTTAAAATGAGCCTAGAAACCATAGTACCAAGATAAAGAAATGCTATGCAAAGCCAATATAAATCACCAAGAAGAAGCCGCCTTTGACTAAAGTACAAGAATAGTCTGACAAAGGCTTTTAAATAGGCACATTTAAGGTAATAAAAGAGAAGTTAAATAATATCCACTGAAAATAAGATATAAAATTGGCAAACAAAAATAAGAATAAATTAAGCAAAACAGGTAGATCTAAAAAATGTAAAAAATTTAAACACAAAAAAACAAATTTATTGGAAAAAATCTTGGTAGAGAGATTGTATAGAAAGTACAAGGGCACTACAAGATACTACTGAGGATTTCACTGGAACGCATCACAGAGACAAAGAGAAAAAAATAACAAAATAAAGGACTTGGAGGATAAACGAAAGATCTGACTTACACACGGCTAACAGAATTTCCAAAAAGGTAGAAAGGCAATATTTGAAGAGGTATTTGCTGATGCTTTTCCAGAGGTGAAGACGAGTCTTCAGAGCAAAGTCCAAGCACCCAGAGGTATAGATGGTAATTGTACAAGATAATATATGTAGTGAAACTAGAAATCATTGAAAACAAATAGAGAGGGAAACCCTTCAAAGCTACTAGACATAAAAAGACAGGTTACTTACAAAGGACTTACAGTTAAACTGACAGCAACTGTAGTTACCAGTGAGAGGTGACAATGTACTAGCAGCCCTCGTTTGCTCTTGGCGTCTCCTCGGCCTCAGCGTCCACTCCAGCCGCCCTTGAGGAGCCCTTCAGCTCGCCACTGCACTGAGGGAGCCCCTCTCTGGGCCAGCTGAGGCCGGAGCCGGCTCCCTCTGCTTGCGGCGAAGTGTGGAGGGAGAGGCGCGGGCGGGAACCGGGGCTGCGGCACGGCGCTCACGGGCCAGCGCGAGTTCCGGGTGGGCGTGGGCTCTGCAGGCCCCGCACTCAAGAGCGGCCGGTCGGCGCTGCAGGTGCTGGGCAGTGAGGGACTTAGCACCTGGACCAGCAGCTGTGGAGAGTGCTCCGGGTCCCCAAACACTGCTGGCCCACCCGCGCCACGCTCGAATTCTCACCGGGTTTCAGCCGCCTCCCAGAGGGGCAGGGCTCGGGGCCTGCAGCCCGCCATTCCCGAGCCCCCCCCATGGTGGGCTCCCGCGCGGCCCGAGCCTCCGCAACGGGCACCGCCCCCTGCTCCGTGGCGCCGGGTCCCACTGACCGCCCAAGGGCTGAGAAGCGCAGGTGCGGTGCGGCAGTGGTAGGCAGCTGCGCCCGTGACCCGGCCAAGGGATCCACTAGGTGGAGCCTAGGCAAAGCCAGTTGGGCTCTTGAGTCAAGTCCTGACTTGAAAAACTTTCATGTCTAGCTGGAGGATTGTATATGCACCAATCAGCACTCTGTGTCTAGCTAATCTGGTGGAGACTTGGAGAACTTTTGTGTCTACCTAACGGATTGTAAATGCACCAATCAGCACTCTGTGTCTAGCTCAATGTTCGTAAATGCACCAATCAATGCTCTGTGTCTAGCTAATCTAGTAGGGACTTGGAGAACTTTTGTGTTTAGCTAAAGGATTGTAAACGCACCAATCAGCACTCTGTGTCTAGCTCAGGGATTGTAAATGCACCAATCAGCACCCTGTCAAAACAGACCAATCAGCTCTCTGTAAAATGGGCCAATCAGCAGGATGTGGGTGGGGCCAAAGAAGGGAATAAAAGCAGGCTGCTCCAGCCCGGCAGTGGCAATTTGGTTGGGTGTGCTTGTACTCTGTGTAAGCTTTGTTTTTTGGTTCTTTAAAATAAATCTTGATGTTGTTGATTCTTTGGGTCAGCATTGCACTGCTCTTGTGAGCTGTAACAGTCACTGCAAAGGTCTGTAGTTTCACTCTTGAAGCCAGCAAGACCGTGAAAGGGTAATGAACAACTCCAGACACATCACCTTAAGAGCTATAACACTCATCAGGAAGGTATGCAGTTTAACTCTTGAAGCCAGCAAGACCACGAACCCACCAGAAGGAAAAAACCCTGAACCTGTCTGAACAGCTGAAGGAACAAACTCCAGACCCACAACCTTTAAGAACTGTAACACTCACTGCAAGGGTTTGCGGCTTTACCCTTTAAGTTAGGGAGACCAAGAACCCACTGATTTCAGTCACCAGAGGATTTCAGGAAAGAATCATGCTCAAAATGTTCAGTAAAATTAACTCAGACTAAAGTTTTATTCCCCAACTATGATTTAAAAAATGAGAAGAAATAGGCCAGGTGGGGTGGCTCACACCTGTAATCCCATCAGTTTGGGATGCTGAGGTGGGGTGGATCATAAGGTTGGGAGATTGAGACCGTACTGGCTAATACGGAGGAAACCTGTGTCTACTAAAAATACAAAAAATGAGCTGGGGGTGGTGGCACGTGCCTGTAGTCCCATCTACGCAGGAGGCTGAGGCAGGAGCATCGCTTGAACTTGGGAGGCAGAGGTTGCAGTGAACCGAGACCACAGCAGTGCACTCCAGCCTGGGCAACAGAGTGAGACTCCATCTCAAAAAAAAAAAAAAAAAAAAAAGACAAAGGCAACTTTAGACCTTTAGACTCTTAAAGAGCCTAGAGAGTTTACCATTAATTGATGCTCATGAGCACAAATATTAAAGGATATATTTAAGCAAAAAGAAAAGTCGACCCAGAGGGAAGGCACATAGGATACAAGAAAGAGTGGTAAACACAATATTAACAAATTGTCGGTTTATTAATTTAATGTTGACAATTTTAAAAGCTAGTTTAGCAATTTTGGGAAATCTTTAAAATCTCTAGGAGGTAGTTATTTAATAGGTAGTTAAATATACCCAGGGGTTTTGTAACATTCAGGAATTTTCTCAATAAATTTAGATGTTAGGAAAAATATTATAGTTGAAGATTAGAGATGGTAATTGAAATACCTTAAAATGATAGAAATGCTTCCAAGCCAACAGTGGGGGGTAATATTCATGAAGGATATTATTAAAAAACAGCTTTATCCAAAAGAAGGCATGGAAATACATTTTTTAAATCCAATAAAAATGGATAGTAAAAGGAAAATAGGGTAGTAGAAATAAATGCAAATATATCAGTGATTATGACAGTGAAAATGAATTAAATGCATCTGATAAATGACAGAAACTAACAGATAGAGCTTTGTAAGCTAGCTAGTTGATGTCTATAAGAAACACTAAAAATCTCCAGCACAATCAGACAGAAAGATTGAAAGTAATGGGAAAAGTGAAAACTTGCAATTAATAATTGTTAAATAAGTAGAAGGCCATTAGCCTGAGGCTGTGTTGATTCTTTGAATTCCTACATAACAAACTGCAACCTAACTTAGTGCGTAAACAAACTGAAACTTAATTTAGGAGTTCAACAAATAGCTGAGTTTCAGCCAATCACAGGCAGCCAACTCATTATGCCATGCCCAAACAGGAAAGTGCCACATCACACCAGGTTCAAATAAAGTTGAAGTTTACCTGTAACCAATCAGGTGATTTCTCTACTTTGCTTCTGTGTTCAGCCTGTAAAAGCTTGCTGCTTGCATTGCTAGGCAGAGCTCTCTGAACCCCTTCTGGCTTGAATGCTTCCTGATTCATGAATCTTTCTTTGCTCAAATAAAGTCTGCCAAATTTAATTAGTCTAAAGTTTTTATTTTAACATAAGCAAAGAAATTTTGTGTAACAATATCAGTATTAGACAAAATAGAATTTCAGACATAATGCATTAGTAAGAGTAAAGATAAGTACACATGGTAACAAAAATTGAAATTCACTAAGAGATAGGAAACACAAACATATCTGGAAAACTTTTGACATGTCTTCTTAGGTAACTCATGAGGACAAAAAGGGAAATCACAGTAAATGTTGCAAAATATTCAAATACCTACGTATTTTAAGCCTATGATTTTAGGGACATAGACATTTATGACAGAATTAAAAAATATTTACAACAGAATAAAAGTACTACCTATAAAAATGTTAGCTGTAAGTGCTTCTTAAAGGTAAACATGTAATTTTAATTAAATTAATTAATAAAGTAAATATAATTAAGTTTAAGAAAGAGCAATCTAAAGAAGTTTTAAGAAAGCAGAAATTAATAATATAGAAACAAGAGAAGCAGTAGAGAGGATGAAAAGAATCAATACCTGTTTTTTAAATGACTTCACAAAAATATAATTCACATACTAGTTCGCTCATTTAAAGTGAACAATTCAGTGATTTTTAGTATATTCACATAATTACACAACCTTACCACAATCTAATTATAGAATATGTTCATCACCCCAAAAAGAAACCCTGAGCTTCTCCTAGAAATCACTAGGCAATTAGTCACTACCTAGAGGTCACTAGGCAACCACTAATCTTTCTTTTTCCTTACACATATAGTAATAAAAATTAACAACAACAACAAAAACTTTTCACAATGAAAAGCCCAGGTGCAAGTGGCTTCACTGGTGAATTCTACCAAACATTTAAAGAAGAATGCCAACCCTTCGTAAACTTTTCCAAAAAATAAAAGATGAGAGGCTTTCTTCTATAAGACCAGTATTACCTGACACCAAAACCAAAGATATCGAAAGAAAGGAAAACTACATGCAAACTCTGTAATGTGACAAGAAATTTTGGCATCATTCAGCCTCAAAAGTCAATTCTGTCATCCAGCAGTAAGAAAGTTGACCATGAAGAACGTGCATTATATGCACGCGTCTAAGACTTCTTAATGGCGGCAAGTTTGATTTGCCCACATTGACATAGATGGGTGCATGCCCACAAGAGGGAGCCTCCAAAAATGGCAGCTGGACTTAGATTCCATGACACTATATATTCCATTCCTATTTGCACACATAGCATGTTAAAGTTTGGAAGCTCCTCCCCTTTGAAGGAAATGCACTAGTTTCATGAACGAGAGCAAGGCCACCCCATGAATAACTGTTGAACTAAGCTGTCAGGATGTATTCATTTTCACTCTCAGAGATGCTTTCCTCATTATCACCCACAGCAACTCAGTCCCCTGAGCTTTCCTCTCCACTCCTTGTCAAAGTCTCTGAGAATGTTCATTTACATTAAAGTATAATGAATAACAATACAAAAAAATATTTCAGTCAGATTATGTGCATTTCACCAAAGATTTGAGCTTAAAGCTGAAGACTGGACATTGATCTGTTATCAGACAATTTTTAAAAATTATTTTTTGGTAGAATAGAGTCTTGCTATGATGCCCAGGCTGTTCTCAAACTCCTGGACTCAAGTAATCCTCCCTTTTCAGCCTCCCAAAATGCTGGGATTACAGGCATGAGCCACCATGCCCCTCCTGTCATCAGACAAGTTGATAAGGACAAATTTAAGGGGAAAAACCTTGTGAGTACAGACAGCCTCTGATTTTCCTAGTACCTAAAAACAGTACATTTACCAAGAATCTACTTTAACTCTGATGCCAAATTCTAGGAAACTGGAAACAAAGAAGTAAGCACTCTTGGTATGCCTATTTGCATATAGCGCCTGAAATTTGTCCAGCTATACATAGAAGAGGTTCTGTAAGCAAAAAAGGTACACAAAGAAAACATATTTATCCGCAAGTCATGTTTTCTAGATGAATCTTGTGTTTCGTCCCAAAGATATATATTTAATGAAGATTATTGAAAACCTTTGTAGATGCAGTCTCAGAAATATGTATAAATGACTTTAAAACTCCTGTTAATTTCCATAACACGTGACTCTCAAACAGACCTTTATACTCCTTTAAGGATTTAAAAGACATTTCTAGTATCTGATAAACAGTCACTTTAAATCACAAGTATTTACCACTATAATCACGGGGGAATGTGTGGCTCAGCCTCTGAAAGCCCCATTTCCCTCCTTTGCCCCTGAGATTAAGAGCATCCAAAAGACAGGTATTGTGTTTGCTCTGGGACCATGCAGTCCCTTAATTCCCATTGGCACCATCTGGACTAATTCCATTTTAAGACCAACTAGGTGGGGTCTCTAATCACTGGCAGATCTCTTATCACCAAGTCAGATCTCTGCAACTACCAATGGCTTAATCCTTCTTCCCTTGCAATGCCATATAAAGTGTTAGTCCTCGGCTGTTCTAGTAGAAAAATAGCAGAAGGCTGCAGTGTAGGAAATCTGATGAAACACAGAGTGACCTCATGAGTTAAAAATGGGGACAACCAAAAAACAAAATGAATGGTGGAAAGAACTTAAGTTTCTATTAATGTCTTTAGGTTACAAAAGTAGGGCAAAGGGTTCACAGGAAGGCAAATGTGTAGATAGAAGCCAACAAAAAAAGAGCATTCAGTGGAGGAGTACTTCTGGGATGGCGCTGGGAGACTGCTCATTTTATTTTATTATGTAATAAAAAGGAAAAATGGAGGTGTTTTTGTTCAAGAGGATCAGACCAAAGGGGTATGCAGTATACGCTGTGAACTCATTCAGAGGAACCAACATATTTTAGAGTAAAGTTGTCTAAAAATAACTTGCTTCAACAGTTCTGGGACATTTTTTTCAGTCTTTTGCCAAGAATCTAATTAATGTGTGTTGCGATTTTCTTTCAGGCAATATGATGTGGATTTTATATCTCATATTCTTTTTTTTTTGGAGACCAGAGTCTTGCTCTGTTGCCCAGGCTGAAGTGCAGTGGCTCAATCTCGGCTCACTGCAACTTCCACCTCCCAGTTTCAAGCAATTGTCTTGCCTCAGCCTCCCGAGTAGCTGGGACTACAGGTGCCCACCACCATGCCCGGCTAATTTTTTTTGTATTTTAGTAGAGACAGGGTTTCACCACGTTGCCCAGGCTGGTCTCGAACTCCTGAGCTCAGGCAATCTGCCCGCCTTGGCCTCACAAAGTGCTAGGATTACTGGCATGAGCCACCATGCCTGGCCTCTCATATTATTTTATAAAGAAAATTCATATAGCCAAGTGGATGTGAATAATGTGATATGTGAGCAGCTAAGATGCTAAGGCTCATCATGCCATTACTTGATTCTCTCCAGCCCAGGACGTTGATACAGATCAGTTAACCCAGTGAAACTACTCTTGCTGCTCTCCTCTTCTCATCCCCACGTTCCACTGTATTTCACTTCTGCAGAGAGCTGGTGCTCAGACTGTGCCTCTGTGAAGCTGGCAGTGAGTGGGCAAGTGAGAAGACTCAGAGTAGAAAATAGGTTCCAGGCATGGACTTTCATTGTTACTCAGAGTTTATGTAAGTAGCTACCAGGAAATAATTAAATCTAAAGGCTGAGGCTGGCCTATCTTCCCGGGACATCAGTGAATAATAATAAAACACTTTATTAAGAAAATCCTGCCAGATCTATTCAGAAATAGGATGTACATGATCTTTTAAGATAAAACACAATAAACTTCAAATATGCTTCACAATTTTTTTTTCTAAGTGGGCCACTTTAGGCTGAGCCTCCAACTTCCTAGGAGCCTCTCACCACACATTATAGAGCATAATTTCAGGAAACATCTGCAGTGGATTATTCATTTCTGGGAGTATTATCAATCTAACGAAACAGTCACTATGGATTTTAATAGTGGAGTAGACCTTAAACATAATCAGGCCTGATCTAATTATTTTAAAGATGAAGTTAAGAACAAAGATAAAAGGTACAAAAAGCCTTGTGGCATTTTTCTTTCTCCCTAACAAGGTCCAGAGCTAAAGTTTTTCATGCCCTGACCTATTGAACATCCCCCAAACACACCACTGTGTCTTTGCATACAATCTTCCTTTTCTATGCAACGCCTTTTTTTTTTTTTTTTTTTTAGATGGAGTCTTGCTCTGTTGTCCAGGCTGTAGTACAGTGGTGCAATCTCGGCTCATTGTAACCTCCACCTTCCTGGTTCAAGCGATTGTCCTGCCTCAGCCTCTTGAGTATCTGGGATTACAGGCGTCCACCATAACACCTGGCTAATTTTTGTATTTTTAGTAGAGACAGGGTTTCACCGTGTTGGCCAGGCTGGTCTCAAACTCCTGACCTCAGGTGATCCACCTGCATCGGCCTCCCAAAGTGCTGGGATTACAGACGTGAGCCGCTGCACCCGGCCAATGCCTTCTTTTATTGAAAGTTTTTACTTGCCATTTAAGACCCAGCTTCCTTGCCATTTTTACTTGCCGTTTAAGACCCAGCTTCCTTGAGGAAATGTTTACTTGCCAGCTTTACTTGCCATTTAAGACCCAGCTTCCTTGAGGAAATCTTTCTCTACTCACCTAGGCAGAGTTAGCTGCTCCTTCCTGTGTGTTCTAATAGATCTTTAAATATAATTTGGTTTTTAGTCCCTCTGTTAGATTTAAAGATCTAATAGATCTTTAAATATAATTGGGTTTTAGTCCATCTATTAGATTTAAAGATTTAAACCAAATATAATTTGGTTTTAGTCCCTCTATTAGATTTAAAGATCTAATAGATCTTTAAATATAATTTGGTTTTAGTCCCTCTCATCCAAAAGAAAAAAAAAGTAAACAATATCCTTTCTGGAGCTCCCTCTCCAGTTGCCATCCTTTCCATAGTCTCCCCTTCACAGCTAAAATCCTTAAAAGAATTGTTTCCATATTCAGGCTTTACTTTCCCACTTCCATTTCCTTTTCAATTCACTCCAACTGGCTTCTGACCCCTCCACTCTGCTGAAATTATTCTTGGAAAATGCAGCAATGACTTCTGCACTACCCAATCCAATGGCTGATTGCCAGTTCTTACTGCACTTTTTCCCTGTCTTGAAGATTCTATACAGTTGACCACCACATCTTTAAAACACCCTTGGCTTCTTACACACCACAATCTATTGGTTTTCCTCCAATGACTTGAGGCATTTCTTCCAATTTCCTTGAGAATTCATCCACCTCTCCTGAAACTTTAGTGTTAGAATTCTTAGAGTTTATACCTCAGTTCTCCTCTTTCTTTCTTGGTGATCTAATTCACTCCCTGGCTTCAAATTCTAAATCAATATCTACAACTTTCAACAACATGTCTACAGTTAATCTCTTTCTGAGTAAGAGAAATTGCAAATCCAACTGCATACTTAAATTGCTAGCATCATCATGAATGATTATAAATGATAAAATACCACTGAGAACTAGCTAAAATAAAGCAGAGTCAGAGACACAGAGAGAGAAAGAGAAAGAGAGACAGAGACAGAGAAAGAAATGTATTAATAGACAAATACCAACTCAGCTCATGTAACCAAGCCAGGGACAGAAACAAGGGAATGCCTATATTCTCAGTAGTCTTTTCTTCTGCCTCTTCTTTCTCTGTATGGTACCCTCATTTTTTCAATCCAACATCATCCCCACAGAGGTGACATGTTCATCAACAGCTCTGAACTTACAGGGTCACAGCTCTGCAACCGGAGTATAAAAATCTGTTCTCCCCATTCAGATTAAGAGAAGTAATTAGATTGGTCCAGTGAGGCTCATATGGCTTTTCTAGGAATCAGTCATTGTGTTCTGGGCATGATGATATTCTGATTGATTTGAATTGGGCCATATGAACACCCATAATTACTAGAGGAATAATATTGGGTCAGGCAGTCACCTAATTAATATCATTTAAACTATTCAACATTTCCATCTAGGTCTTTCACAGGTATCTTAAGTTGACAGTATCCACAACTTAATCAATAATGTTTATCCAAAAACACGATTGTTCCCCAGTATTTTAAATGCCAAAAAATGACATAAACATTCATGAAATTTCTCAAGCCAAGATACTTAAGAGTTATGCTTGACAGTCCCTCTCCCTGCTGTTATTGCCTAGCCCACCCACCATCCAATTATCAAGGTCTATCAATTCTACATCCAAGATATATTTAGGATCAGTCCACTTCTTTCTGTCTGCAATATTGCCCTTGTAGTTCAAAACAACGTCACTCCACACCTAGATTACTGCAGTAGCATCCTAACTGGTCTCCAACTGTCCACTCTTTTTTTTGTTTTTGAGATGGAGTTTTGCTTTTGTTGCCCAAGCTGGAGTGCAATGGCGCAATCTGGGCTCACTGCAACCTCTGCCTTCTGGGTTCAAGTGATTCTCCTGCCTCAGCCTCCCGAGTAGCTGGGATTACAGGTGCCCACCACCACACCAGGCTAATTTTTTGTATTTTTAGTAGAGGAGGGGTTTCACCATGTTGGCCAGGCTGGTCTCGAACTCCTGACCTCAGGTGACCCGCCCACCTCGGCCTCCCAAAATGCTGGGATTACAGGCGTGAGCCACCGAACCCAGCATACACTCTTGATCTCCTGACATTCTTTGTCCTCAAGGCAGAGTGACTTTATGAAATTTAAAACTTACCATACCTTGCTTCTGCTTAAAACCTTAGAAAAGCTTCTCATTGTTCTTGAGATAAGCCCTGCATTCCTCATTTACCCTGGGAATCCAATCTTTGCTTTCTTTCTAACCTCATCTTTTCCTACTCTTTCTTTTCCCTCATTTAAAATGTTTCAACTCTATCAATCTTTCCATTTTTGAAATGTAATCTGACATTTTTGGGGGGTACTGGGCTTTCACATGTGCCAGGCAAACATCTTGTTACATGCTCTCTAGGCCTTGGCCTTTTTCACATCACTCATCACAGCTTTAATACTTACAATGCAAATGTTTAACTGTGAACTTCTTAAGACCAAGGACTGCATCTGTCTGGCTTGACGTAGTACTTAGCACTTAGTAGACGTTCAATCAATATTTGTTGAATGAATGGTCATCCCACTTTATTACAGTCCTTTACATACCTGTATTTTCTGCCAAGATATGAGTTCATTCTTTTATTTTACAAATATTTATTGAGTGCCCACCTTGTGATATTTAAGGAGAGAGTTAAATATCAGGGACAGAGGCATGAAGATGATACAGGGGATTCTTACCTTTAGACATTTATAGCCTTTCTACTATGCAACAATTATGTGTTTTTTCTATGTCTCAATTCCTGGCAGATACTGTTTAATGAATGTTTGCTGAATGAATACATGAATGAATTAATGGGCATTGTGAACTTGACCACCAACTACTCTCTGTTCTTTTTGCTGTACCCTGTCCTGCATGTTTCAAATGACCAGAAGTTTCATAGCAGAGAAAAATGGCCACTAAACCATGGGTTTCCTGGCTGACAATGAGCTGGTTCAAACATGATGATCATCCCTTAGGCAGAAGTGAGATAGGTCCAAGCCAGGATACTGGCACCAGGGAGGAAAGAAGGGTAAACACACACAGCATTTGGGAGCCTTGGGGCAAAGGTATGCCAATGGTGGGAGAAAGGAAGAGGAAAGAAAAGACAAATGGTTGAGAGGCTGAGGCAGGCGGATCACAAGGTCAGGAGATCGAGACCATCCTGACTAACACAGTGAAACCCCGTCTCTACTTAAAATACAAACAATTAGCCGGGTGTGGTGGCGGGCACCTGTAGTCCCAGCTATTCAGGAGGCTGAGGCAGGAGAATGGTGTGAACCCGGGAGGCAGAGCTTGCAGTGAGCCGAGATCGCGCCACTGCACTTCAGCCTGGGCGAAAGAGCAAGACTCTGTCTCAACAAAAAAAGAAACGACAAATGGAGGTGAGGAGTGTTCTTTCTTTTTTTTTTTTTTTATCAAGAAGGTTGTTACAATCCCCTTTTTAAAAATTTAAATAGCTTTAAAAGTACAAGTTGTTTTTGCTTACATGGATGAATTGTATAGTGGTGAAATCTGGGCTTCTAGTGTACCCATCACCCAAATATTGTACCCAATAGGTAGTTTGAGAACTATATATTTTTCATCGAAGTTTCTTACTTAATGTCTGTCATTGACTGTGCATTGTGAGCTTTGTGGTAGAAGGAGCAATGTTTGTTTTGATTTCCAGAGTCTCCAGTGCCAGTCGGAGCAATCATACATACTTGATGAATGAATGAATAAATGAATGAATGCTCAACATCTCCCAGAGAACATACATCCAGTGTCTGGTTCTGAGGCTCACCCTCTGCAGGTAAGCAGGAAACCCTAGAGAGAAGGTTTCCACACCCAGGTATTCCAAGACATCTCAAAACCATGGTCAAGAGGCAAATGGATCTGCTACTGGATAGCTGAAAATTCTCAGAAGAAAAAAATGTTTCATAGAGATGAAAAGTCCAAAAATGCATTTGTGCCTAGAAGGCATAGCAGCATGAATGAGTAAATCTTATTGGGTAAATCTTTTAAGAAAAGAGGTGGTGGTGGTAGTGGGATATGTAATATGACATATATAATATGACAAGGCTTTGGGTACCTAAGTTGAAGAGGAGATGCTTTTAGGGAGAAAAGGGAGCAAAAAAAAAAAAAAAATAAGAAGCCTGAAGACCTCAAACATAAAATTAGCGGGGAATTTTACCAGAGCAAGTATAATTTTGTGCCTTTCCTGACAAGTCAAAGCACTATCACGTAAGAGCTAAACCGATGATCTCTAGAACCCAGTGGCTTAGGATCAAATCATGGCACTGTTGATTCTGGACAAGACACTCAGTATCTCTAGGGGTCAGTAATTTTATTTGAAAATGAGGACCCATCTCTTAAGGTGTTGAGAGTATTCAATGAAGGAATTCCTGGAAAACACCTAGCGTGTGTTACAAGGGCGGTAAATATTAGGTATTGCTACTGCTTACACAGATTACTCGGCAGGAGGGGTGGTCACCATTTGAGCAAATCTACGATCGTGGGGATTCAAAGGAAAACCAGAGGAAAGTGGGGAGCCCTTGAGTTAATCTACAGGAGAGATGTCTGCACAGAGCAGGGCATGCTGTCAGTGCATGGTGAGTGGTGACTTTCCTTCCTTCTGCTTCTGTCATCTCCCTATTTCTATGACATTAAATTTGAAGTGCACAATTCTCCCCACTGTGCCTTGTGGCTTCCCTGTGCCCAGGAAAGCTTTTCTGGTCTGGAGATGGCAAAAGGCAGCCTAGTAGCTACGCCAAGAGAAAAATGGTCAAAAATGCAGATCAGAGTTTTCTTTTTAAAGAAATATATATTTTAAGGTTAGAATCTAATCAAGCACAAATAATGCAAAGTTATAAACCCACATTTTTTTCTTCTTCTTCATTATTTTAAGAGCCCTCTGCTCAGGAAGGGGGCGAGGGCTGTTTCCTGGCTCTGGGCAAATGTGTGAAGGAAGTGAAGTGCAGTGCCCTAGGCCACCTCCTTCCCCTATCCCCTTCCCCATTCTATTCCCCTAAGTTCGTTACCAGGCACTCTAGGCCCAGATCTGTCCCATTTCCCAGGCAAAATCTTCTCTCAAAAAGGATCTGAAACTCATTTACATTAAAATATGCGTGAGGATTGCAGTGGAAAGCGTTGCCCCAAGGTTGGCCTTAGCTTTAAATAAACCAATGCCTGCCAGAGGCAGCAGAGCTTCCTCAGGAGGCACCAGCATCCTGCTAGTTGTTGGTTTTTTTTTTTTAATTTTAGCAATGTTTATATAACACTAAATCAAGACACCGAGTAGTTAATTTACATAATGTTCGTATCACCAGAACAGTGTTAATATACATGAACATATTTTGTAATCTTTTTTAATGTTTTTTTTTTAACTTTTATTTTAGGTTCAGGGGTACGTGAGCTAGTTGGTATGTTTAAAGTGGATTCATCCTGGAATTCCCATCTCACTACTCAGGTTGTAAGTTGAGCTGCAGCATTTAAAGAAAGGCACCAAGGGTAAGAGAGAGCTATGCTAGCACTCAGAAAATAATAAGCATCTTCATTCCCTTTTGGCAGAAGAAAGTGGAGGCCCACTCATTAATTCCAACCTCCCCTGAATTTAAAAATTGCCCAAAAGTAGTTATGTTACCAGTGGAGGGTGTCCAGGTTCTTGGCGTTTTGAACAAAGAATTGGACAAACCACACAAAGCAAAGAAAGAATGAAGCAACAAAGGCAGAAATGTATTGAAAACGGAAGCGCTCCACAGGGTGGGAGCAGGACCGAGCAAGCGGCTCTAGAGAGCTGGTTACAGAATCTTCTGGGGTTTAGATACCCTCTAGAGGTTTCCCATTGGTTACCTGGTGTACACCCTATGCAAATGAAGAGGATGAAGTGACGTTACAAAGTTACTTACTTGGTCGTAGAGACTTGGAGTTTTTCATTTGATTTAGTTCGAGGAAGTACTTACGTTCCCTAGCTCCAGACCCTGTTCTCCCGCCTCAGTTATGTATTGACAACCAGAGGCCTTGTGGTCTCTCTTTTAGCAGGTCCAGGTTAAAACCCTGGAAACCAGCATTTCTAACACGCATTGTGGGGTCGTGGAGATTAAATGAGGGACTTATTGAGAGGCTCTTGGCCTTGCATGCCTAGGATCAAGAGAGTTGGGTATTATTTGAATCTTGTATGTCACTTCTTGTAACCTCATTTGGAAGCATAAGTCTGACTTCCCATTTAGGCTCTCCT
The DNA here is from genome assembly GCF_000001405.40 of Homo sapiens. Lineage (NCBI taxonomy): Eukaryota > Metazoa > Chordata > Mammalia > Primates > Hominidae > Homo > Homo sapiens. The sequence goes on along the minus strand of NC_000006.12, from coordinate 11,403,856 downwards.
TAACCGTCAATTGCAGGCATTTCAAGAGCCTCTCTTTCCTCTGCCGGCCGTTCCACATGTTGCTGACAGATTCACCTTCCTACAGCACAGTCCTGAGCTTGCTTGCCACCTTTTAAAAAAGATAGCAAGGGCTATCTATGATCCTGGCTATCTTTTTAAAAAATTGAATTATTTTGTTCCCACATTTAAAATGAAATGTAAACTCTCTATTGCAGCTTCAGAGCCCCCGCATGACTTGGTCCTTGCTGATCTTTTGACTTCATTTCCTACTGTTTCCCCTCCTGCTTCCCAGGGTCCAGTAACACGTAACTGATCCTCACCTACCTCCTTGCTCACTCCTGCCTCAAGGCCGCTGCCTTCCTCTTCCCTTGCAAGGAAAAGGAACACACTATTGCTGTACCCAGAATGTTCTGACCCCATGTCCTTGCATGACTGGTTCCACTGCATGGTTAGTTCTTGGCTCAACAATTACCTCCCACTAGAGCAGCACCCCAGGATGCATCGCATTATGCTATTTTTATTTTTTTTACAGCACTTCTATCATCTGAAATGACTTTGCTTATTTGTTTTCTTGTTATTATCTGTCCACCTCCCTCCAGAATGTAAGCTCCCTGGGTTTCCTGTTCACGGTTCACTGTTGTTACCTCTGCTGCCTAGATAGCAGTTGACACACGGCTGGCTTTCAAAAAGCATTCTGCATAAAACCATATTATGTCTCTTTCACATCCTTAGCAGTCCTCACAGCCCTCGCTCGCTCTCGGCGCCTCCTCTGCCTGGGCTCCCACTTTGGCGGCACTTGAGGAGCCCTTCAGCCCACCGCTGCACCGTAGGAGCCCCTTTCCGGGCTGGCCAAGGCCGGAGCCGGCTCCCTCAGCTTGCAGGGAGGTGTGGAGGGAGAGGCGCGAGCGGGAACCGGGGCTGTGCGCGGCGCTTGCGGGCCAGCTAGAGTTCCCGGTGGGCGTGGGCTTGGCGGGCCCCGCACTCGGAGCAGCCGGCCGGCCCTGCCGGCCCCGGGCAATGAGGGGCTTAGCACCCAGGCCAGCAGCTGCGGAGGCTGTACTAGGTCCCCCACCAGTGCCGGCCCACCGGCGCTGCGCTCGATTTCTCGCCGGGCCTCAGCTGCGTTCCCGCGGGGCAGGGCTAGGGCCCGCAGCCCGCCTATGCCTGAGCCTCCCATCCCCTCCGTGGGCTCCTATGCGGCCTGAGCCTCCCCAATGAGCACCGCGCTCTGCTCCACAGCGCCCAGTCCCATCGACCACCCAAGGGCTGAGGAGTGCGGGTGCACGGCGCGGGACTGGCAAACAGCTCCAGCTGCAACCCCTGTCTGGGATCCACTGCGCGAAACCAGTTTGGCTCCTGAGTCTGGTGGGGACGTGGAGAACCTTTATGTCTAGCTCAGGGATTGTAAATACACCAATCGGTACTCTGTATCTAGCTCAAGGTTTGTAAACACACCAATCAGCACCCTGTGTCTAGCTCAGGGTTTGTGAATGCACCAATCGACACTCTGTATCTAGCTACTCTGGTGGGGCCTTGGAGAACCTTTGTGTGGACACTGTATCTAGCTAATCTGGTGGGGATGTGGAGAACCTTTGTATCTAGCTCAGGGATTGTAAAGGCACCAATCAGCGCCCTGTCAAAACAGACCACTTGGCTCTACCAATCAGCAGGATGTGGGTGGGGCCAGAGAAGAGAATAAAAGCAGGCTGCCCGAGCCAGCAGTAGTAACTCGCTGGAGTCTCCTTCCGGATTGTGGAAAGTTTGTTTTTTTTTTTTTTTGCTCTGCAATAAGTCTTGCTACTGCTTGCTCTTTGGGTCAACACTGAGTTTGTGAGTTGTGAGGCTCACCACGAAGGTCTGTAGCTTCCCTCCTGAGCTGGTGTAGACCATGAACCCACCAGAAGAAGGAAACTGCAAACACATTTGAACGTCAAAAAGAACAAACTCTGGACACGCCACTTTTAAGAACTATAACACTCACCACGAGGATCTGCGGCTTCATTCTTGAAGTCAGTGAGACTAAGAATCTGCCAATTCCGGACAAACTTTCGTAGTTCTACATCTTTTTCAGAATCATAGTACATATTCCTACACCTGCCAGTGAAGGACTTGGGTGGTTTTGTCTTAATACACTTGCTATAAATAAATTATGCTTAGGTAGCTTTCTTGTTACTACAACAACATACACATGAAGGTGAAGTTTGTGGATCAGTATCGTTGGCATCATGTGGGCGTTCATTAGAGCTACGGCCCCTGACAGCTGCAGACTTACTGACTTCCCCCATTCCTATTTTAACAAGAGCCCAGGTAAATAGAAGGCACCTTGGGCCACACCTCATAATTACTAAAGGAGTAATACTGGATCACACAATCACCCAATGTGTTTTGGCTAAACTACTCAATATTCCTACGTGGACGTCTCACAAGTATCTCAAGCTGACAGTGTCCAAAACCGAACTATACTATTGCTCCCAAAAACGTGATTCTCTTCCAGTGTTCTCAAAAATTGAGAGCTATTGTCCTAAAATTTGTGAGCTATTCAAAGGCACAGACTCAGTATTATTCACCTTCGTTTCCTACATGGAATGTCCTCAATGTTTGCTGAGCTGAATTTATTTTATTTTTAATTGATACATAATAGATGCACATATTTTAGAGGTACCTGTGAGAATTTAATACATTTATGTAATTTGGTCTTTGTGTGTGTGTGTGTGTTTGAGACAGAGTCTCGCTCTGTTTCCCAGGCTAAAGTACAGTGGCATGATCTCGGCTCACTGTAACCTCTGCCTCCCAGGTCCGAGCAATTCTCCTGCCTCAGCCGCCCCAGTAGCTGGGACTACAGGCACGTGGCACCACATCTGGCTAATTTTTTTTCATTTTTAGTAGATTTGGGGTTTTACTATGTTGTCCAGGCTGGTCTTGAGCTCCTGACCTCAAGTGATCCTCCCACCTCAGCCTCCCAAAGTGCTGAGGTTACAGGCGTGAGTCACCACGCACAGCCCATTCATATATGTAAAGATCAAATCAGTGTAATTGGGATATTCATTACCTTAAATATTTATCTTTTCTTTATGCTAGAAACATTCAAATTTTCTTATAGCTATTTTGAAATACACAATTATTGTAGACTGTAATCACCTTAGTGATTTATCAAACACTAGATCTCATTTCTTCTATCACTGTACATTTCTACTTGTTAATCAACTTGTCTCCGTCCCCTCACCCTCCTACCCTTCCCAGCCTCTGGTAACCACCAGTCTACTCTCTACCTTCATGAGATCCATTTTTTTTTAGCTCCCACATATGAGAGTGAGAAATGTGGTATTTGTCTTTCTGTGCTTGGCTTATTTCATTTAACATAAACACCTCCAGTTCCATCCGTGTTGCTGCAAATAACAAGATTTCTTTTTCTTTTCTTTTCTTTTCTTTTTTTTTTTTTTTTGAGACAGAGTCTTGTTCTGTCACTTAGGCTGGAGTACAGAGGCGCAATCATGGCTCACTACAGCCTTGATCTTCAAGGTTCAGTCAATCCTCCCACCTCAGCCTCCTGAGTAGCTGGGACTACAGGCATGTGCCGCTACACCCCACTAAGTTTATAATTTTTTGGAGAGATGGGATTTTGCCATGTCGTCCAGAGTAGTTTCAAACTCCTAGGTTCAAGTCATTCTTTTTATGGCTGAATAATATTCCAGTGTCTACATATACCATATTTTCTGTGTCCATTTATCCATTGATGGACACTTAGGTTGATTCCATATTTTGACTATTATGAATAGTGCTGCAGTAAACATGAGAGTGCAGATATCTCATTGATATATTGATTTCCTTTCTTTTGGAGATATACTCAGCAGTGGAATTACTGAATCACATGGTAGTTCTATTTTTAGCTTTTTGAGGAATTTCCATTTAGTTTTCCAGGGTGGTTGTACTAATTTACATTCCCACCAATAGTGTATGAGGGTTCCCCTTTTCCCTACATTCTTGCCAGCATCCATTATTCCCTGTCTTTTTGATAAAAGCCATTTTAAGTGGGATGAGATGATATCATCTCATTGTGGTTGTTTTTTGGGTTTTGTTTTGTTTTGAGACAGGGTCTCACTCTGTTGCTCAGGCTGGAGTGCAGTGGTGTGATCTTGGCTCATGCAACCTCTGCCTCCTGGGCTCAAGCAATTATCCTGCCTCAGCCTCCCAAGTAGCTGGGACTACAGGCTTGTGTCACTACGCCTGGATAATTTTTGTATTTTTAGTAGACATGGGGTTTCACTATGTTGCCCAGGCTGGTATGGAACTCCTGAACTCAAGTGATCCACCTGCCTCAGCCTCCCAAAGTGCTGGGATTACAGGCGTGAGCCACCATGCCCAGCTCATTGTGGTTTTGATTTGTGTTTCTCTGATTATTAGTGGTGTTGAGCATTTTTAAATGTACCCATTGGCCATTTGTAGGGTTTTTTTTTTTTTTTTTTGAGAAAAGTCTATTCAGATCTTTTGTCTATTTTTTAATTTTTTTTTTTTTGCTCTTGAGTTGTTTGAGTTCCTTATATATCCTGTTTTTAAAATTCTTGTCAGATGGACAGTTTGCAAATATCTTTTCCTATTCTGTAGGCTGTCTGTACACTCTACTGATTGTTGCCTTTGCTGTACAGAACGTTTTTGCTTGATGTAATCCCATTTGTCTATTTTTGCTTAGATTGCCTTTGCTTTTGAGGTCTTACGCAACAAACCTTTGCCCAGATCAAAGTCCTGGAGCATTTCCCCAGTGTTTTCTCCTAGTAGTTTAATACTTTCGGGTCTTAGATTTCAGTCTTTAATTTATTTTTATTTGATTTTTGTATATGTGAGAGATGGGGGTCTCGTTTCATTATTCTGCATATGATTATCCAGTTTGTCCAGCACCATTTATTGAAGAGTGTTGAGCTGAATTTTAAAAATTTATAGTCTAGTGGAGGAAATAGCCTAAGCAATAACAATGTGACAGTTACTTAACTAATCCAGTGAAAACTGGCAAGGCTCTCAACTCAGGAGGAAAAGTTAAGAAATATTAAGGAGCTAGAAGTGACAAAATGTGGTCACCAATTGGAGAGATGATTTATTTACTGGAAGGAATTTTAAATGACTCCCAGTTCTCTGCTTTGGAAACTGGGTGCATGGGAGTGACAGTCTCTAAAACAGGGACTGTAGGAAGATCAGGCTGAACTCAGGAGAGATATCAGGGTTCAAAGCAGATTGTAGAGCTAACATGCAACAGCCAATGTTGACTCAGTATTTACCCATCAATGATCCTACCACGTTCCCTGAGTCCATTACTCTCCTACCCTCCAAGGTGGTTATCTCACACCCCATTCTTTCTCCTTGAGCCTTCTTCACCTCCTGCACAGAGTTAGGTCTTAGCCGATGGCCTTATTTTCTATTTCGTGGAAACAGCAGAAGCAGCCAGAAGAGGATGTGCTTGAACTCACACCCCCACACCTATAATCTGCCTTTTCTCTTGAGGAAAACTAACCAAATTTTCTGTTAGTTTTCTGGGTCCCATCCCTTTTCCCTTTCCCAAAGACCTCATTTCAATAATTCTATTCCCTCTCCACTGCATCATAAAAATGTCAGTGTCTATTAGCTTGTTTCTATTATTGTTCAAGCATATTGAATCTCCTATCTTAAAAGCAAATGTAAACCTTCTTTGACTCCACACCATCCTTTAGCTATCACCCCATTCTTCTCCTCTCCTTTACAGCAAAGCACCTTGACAGAGTTGCCTATACTTCTGCCTCCAACTTCTCTCTTCCCATTCTCTCTTGTACCCACTATTGAAACTGCTTTGTCAAGGTCATCAATGACATCCACATCACTACATCCGCCACTCTGTTCTCAGCCTCCATCGCACTTCCTCTATCAGCAGTGGACACACTTTTCACCTCCTCCTGGCCTCTCTGCACTTGCCTTTCAGGACCCCACACAGTCATGGTTGTCCTCCTTCCTCTCAGGCCACTCCTTAGTCTCCTTTCTTGGTTTCCCTCCTCTCCCTGACTTCTTCATCTTGGCATGCCCGATTCTCAGTCCTCAGTTTGCTTCTCTGTTCTAAGTGCATACCCTTGACGACCTCATCTGGCATCACTGCTTTTGAAATCAACTAGGTGCTGATGACTTCCAAAGTTTTATCTTTAATCCAGACCTATTTCTTAAACTCCACATTCACATATCAAATGCCCTTCTCAACAGCTACACTTCAATGTCTAATAACCATGTAGGATTTGATTTACACTAAATTGATTCTGTATTTTCACCCACTGTGTGTTCCCCCACAGTCCCTCTCTCTTTTTTTTTTTTTTTTTTTTTTTGGGAAGTGGAGTCTCACCTTGTTGCTCAGGCTGGAATGCAGTGGCACGATCTCGGCTCACTGCAACCTCCGCCTCCCAGGTCCAAGTGATTCTCCCACCTCTGCTTCCCAAGTAACTGAGATTACAGGAGCGTGCCACCATGCACAGCTATTTTTTGTGTGTGTGTTTTTAGTAGAGATGGGGCTTCACCACGTTGGCTAGACTGGTCTTGATCTCCCGACTTCAGGTGATCCTTCCGCCTCGGCACCCCAAAGTGCTGGGATTACAGGTGTGATCCACGGCTGCTGGTCGGTCTTTCTTACCTCTGAAAATGACAACTCTCCTTCTCTTTACTGGGGCCAAAACCTTTGAGCTCCATCTTGATTTCTTTCTTCCACTCCCCACATCCAGCAGAAGATAGTGTTGGTCTCACCTCCAATTATGACTCAAATTAATCATTTCTCACTACTCTACCACCACCACCCTGATCCAAGCCCCCACTATCTCTCACTTTGATTATTGCAGTGGTCTCTAGGAGCATAAGTCAGATCATATTGCTCCTCTCCTTAAAATCTTCAACAGCTCCTGTCTCACTCACGGTAGAGGCCAAAGCCCTAACATTGCCCTTGCAACCTGATCTGTCTTCCTGATCTTTTCATCCTCTTTCTCCCTTCATTCTAGCCCCATGATGATTCCTTCAAGATGCCAAACACTGTCCCACCCCAGGGCATTTGTGCTTGTTATTGCCCCTGCCCAGCCTCATGGTATAATCCCTCCCTTATTTTAAGTCTCTGCCTAAATGTTGCATTATTAAGGAGGCATTCCCGGGGACCCCATAATGAATAGAAGGGTCTGCTCATGGCCACCCATCCTACCTACCCAGCATTATATTTTTCCAAAGCATTTCCTCCATCTAACATGTGAAATGTTTATTTCATTTATTCATTGTCTGTCTCTTCACTAGAATGTAAGTTTCATGAGGGCAGGGATTGGTGTGATTAGTTTATTGCTCTATCTCCAGCACACAGAACAGCACCAAGCATATAGTAAGCACTCAATAAATATTTGTTGAATAAAAAATGAATTAAAACAATGTGCATTGAATGTCTCCTATGTGTCGTGAACATATAAATAGGAGTTGAAAGTGTAGGAAACAATGGGATCTCACCTCAGGAATTGACAGGTGAGATTGAAACAGAAGGGGAATTGACAGGTGAGATTGAAACACAGTTTGGGGAAGGGAAAAAAAAAAGAGGACCCTGGAAGGGAGCATGAAAAGGAGTTGCTAGAGAGGTAGATAATAAACCAGGAGAAAATTGTAATGGAACACAGGGCAAGAGGGCAAGGTAGAGTTAAGAAGAAAAGGAATTGCTGGCTGGGCACGGTGGCTCACACCTGTAATCCTGGCACTTTGGGAGGCCGAGGTGGGTGGATTACCTGAGGTCAGCAGTTCAAGACAAGCCTGACCAACATGGTGAAACCCTGTCTCTACTAAAAATACAAAAAAATTAGCTAGACATGGTGGTGGGCGCTTGTAATCCTAGCTACTTGGGAGGCTGAGGTAGGAGAATCGCTTCAACCTAGATGGCAGAGGTTGCAGTGAGCCGAGATCACACCATTGCACTCCAGCCTGGGCAACGAGAGCAAAACTCCGTCTCAAAAAAAAAAGAAGAAAAGGAATTGCCAAGATAAGTGATGCTGCAGAAAGGTAAGGTAAGACAAAGAAATGGAAAGCACCCATTGGATCTAGAAAAGCATCTGGAGGACCTTAGTGGCTCCTAGGAACTGTGATAGTATTCCCTCCCCTAGGAAGCCTCTTTACATACCTTTTCCATAGTGCTTAATAATCAGAATGTGAGCAGACTGACCTGTCAGTTACCCAGCAAGTTGGACTGTAAGCTGCCCAAGGGCTTTGGGCAAGGGAATGGTATTTACTGGACAAATCTATGGGCTGGGTGCCTGCCAGGTAATTTGCATATACTAATATATTTGATTCTCACTGCAACCCAGTGAGATAGGTGTAATTTCCCACTTCACAGATGCAGAAATTGAGGTTCCACAAGGCTAAATAACTAATCCAAGATCTAACAACTACTAAGTAGCAATGCTGACCCTAAAACTTTGATCTTCCTGACTCTGTGCTTACTAGGGAGCGGGGTTGGGGGTGGGTAGTGTTTCTTCCCCTCCCTCCCAGGTCATCTGAAAGTCTCTTATTGAGGCAGCCATTGCTGGCTTCTTATCCAATAACTATCCTTTCTCCCTGCTAAGGATCCTGAATTGTGTTTCTGAATGGGGCATCTTTGTGCTTTGGGAAAGACTGAGCCTTTTATTTTTTAATTTTAATTTTAAATTTTACTTTACGTTCCAAGATACATGTGCAGAATGTGCAGGTTTGTTACACAGGTATACATTTGTCATGGTGGTTTGCTGCACCTATCAACCTGTCATCTAGGTTTTAAGCCCCACGTGCATTAGGTATTTGTCCTAATGCTCTCCCTCCCCTTGCCCCCCCACCCACCGAGAGGCCCTGGTGTGTGTTGTTCCCCTCCTTGTGTCCATGTGTTCTCATTGTTCAACTCCCACTTATGAGCGAGAACATGTGGTGTTTGGTTTTCTGTTCCTGTGTTAGTTTGCTGAGAATGATGACTTCCAGCTTCATCCATGTCCCTGCAAAGGACATGAACTCATTCCTTTTTATGGCTGCAGACTGAGCCTTTTCTTAACCCCAGGAGGTAAAATGTGACGGTCCTAAACCATTTAGGACCATTTCATTTGCTTTGTTGTTGACTGGCTTAGGAACAGGCTTGGGATGCAATTCTGCCTCTAAGACTTGTGGATATGTCTGCTGGAGAGTGAGCCTTGGAGGAAGAGTTTTTCTAGGAAAGGAATCATCTCTCAAAAAGAAGCATAGAGATCCGAAGAGCAGTGAGCCTTTCTTTTGGGTTTTTTAATTTATTTTCATTTAGATGTGGTTGGGAATGCACCGCCTAGAGCTATTGCAGACAGTTTGCAATCATGAGGGAACCAAGAACTTCAGACCAAAGCTGATATGAAGACTTCTATGGAACTGTTGAATTAACCAATGCTGGACCCACCCTACCCCCTGGATTCTTGCTTGATGAGGCAGCAAATATCTATTGTTCAACCCAGTGTAAGTTGTATTTTTACATTATTTGGAGCAAAAATATCCAATCTGTGTAGTCTCCCAGACCATGTCTGTTTTTACTCACCAGTTTATTCCAGCTCTGAACAGAGTGCTTATTGCTCAAAAAATATGTTTTGATGGGCAGCAGGAAGACTGTTATTTAAAAAAAGTAAAAATGAATGAATTTGGTTAATTATTATAAAGTGTAGGAGGCTGAGGACACAATCATTTTTAGAGAATCTTCTCTAAAAGTGCAACAGGAAGAGAAAATGTAGCATACCACAAAGACAAGTTCCTCCCAGTGCTCTGCCGGCATAGTGCCACTGAGGGCATTATGTGCTATGACCCCTATGGATCAGATGGCCGTTCACTCCCATGTAATTAATTAAAATTGAAATCAGCTTTTGTCCCCGATTACTGAGGCTCAAACTAAAAACAGCCCAGAATGTATTCTCAGTCAGGAGGTGGCTGTGTTGGAGATTTGTGTTGGCATCTCTGAGCTGTGACCACAGCACACATTTTTGTGGGAAATATCGGATGACACTTTTCCAGCAGCATTCTTCCATTAGGAAGGTTGGTGGGGGTGGTGGCAGGGCTCAATGGATCCAAGAGACCTTTTCTTCTTCTGAAACTCGTTTAGACTCGTTCTTCCCCAGTTAATGAGGCCATTTTGTGCCCCTTTCAGAGCTAATGTAGCTGGAGAAACCAAAGGGTGCGAAATTTAGAAACATCAGAGTCCCCTTCCCAAAGCCTCATTTTGCAAGGCCCTATGTGGTTTGTGGGAGCAACTTGAGGTCCTGGTTACTGATAAAAATTATATAATTTTAGAACTTTTCATAAGCCAATGTGGCCTCCTTGTTAAAGAACAGCAATTAGAGCCTTGAAGTACTGAATGCAATTACCTAAACTGTTTTCCAAATGCCCATATTCAGTCTTGGTTCTCGGGACTGATGTCTTCCTCCCCTTTGGCCCCTTCTCACGCTCATTCATTCAGCTACATCATTCTAGCTGTGGTACCCCGATATGGCTCAGCTTCAGTATATGCAGGGGTGAGCCAGGAAGAAAATTCCAGTCCAGGATTCGGAGAAAAGTCTCTCTGTGCCTACCCTGCCCGTGGTGCTATGCTGAGGGAGGTGACCATGAGTGATTTCGTACGTGCAGATTGTCACGTTTGACCCTATGATCCTGGCTGATGAAACCAGGAAATGGCAGTTGTCTTTGAAGACAGCCATCAGCAAACTGGCTGGCAGCCAGGGAGATAACACAGTGGGAATCTCTACACGATAAGGGTTGCCTAGTGCCCTGCAGTGAACAATGAACTATATCAGATATTTTCTTTTAGGGAACTTGAAAATGACACAGAGAGAAATGCAAGTGGCAATAGGATCCAGAAACCGAGAGACTCATGGAAAGGAGGCAGCCGGTGGAAGCAGGAGACAGCAGAAGCCAAGCCAAACAGCAAAAGAAGGAAATTGAAAGGAGCCAGAAGGGGTCATCTGAGAGATGTCAAGAGTGGCAGCAGAAACAGACAGGCACCTCCTGTGCCAATGCCTGCTTTTGAGAGATCAAGATCATGGTATCTGTAGACTGAGAACAAAGTGTGAGACTCAGAACTAAGTCCATTCAAGCTCTGCATTTCTTTGTTATGTCCCTTTCATCAGTAATTTCCATTAGTTCCTTACATCTCTTTCATCATGAATTTCCACCAGAGAATCTAATTGCATCAGACTCGCTGAAAAAGTTTAACTAATAGATCCAATATTTACCAGCCTGTGATCTTGGGTAAGTCACGTATCCTGCACGAACATGAGTTGTTTCATCTCTATGTGTGATAGGCAAAATAATAGCCCTAAACATGTCCACATCCTAATTCTCAGAATTTGAGACTATGTTACCTTACATGGCAAAAGGGATTTTGCAGATATGATTAAGTTACAACATTGAGATAGGGTCCTATGTTATACATGTGGGCCCAGTCTAATCATATGGGTTCTTAAAATCAGGGAGAGATTTTCCCAGCTGTGGTCAAGGAGAGATGTGATGAGGGAAGAATGGTCAGAGAGATGCTGCACTACTGGCTTTCAAGATAGAGGAAGGGGCCGTGAACCAAGGAATGTGGATGGCCTCTAGAAGCTGGAAAAAGGCAAGGAAGCAGATTCTTCCCAACCTAAAGAGGAGGAACACAGCCTGCCAAACACCCCAGCTTTAGCCCTGTTAAACCTGTGTTAAACTTTTAACCTATAGAACTGTAATATAACAGATTTGTGTTGTTTTAAGCTGTTAAGTTTGCAGTAACTTGTTACAGCAGCAATAGAAAACTAATACATTCTGATGGCTAACACTACATATGCATGGGAAAATGTCTAAAAGAATGTATTCTCCAATGTAACATTGGTTTTGTCATCTTTTCAAATTATTTCTTTTTTCTGGTTTCAATAACGACTGTGTGTTATTTGTGTAATAAAGAAATGATGGAAATGTTAAAGAATAAGTAATATGTACTAAATAAAGTTAGATGACCTCTAAGGCTCCACCTAACTGTGGCATTATCTGAGCAATCCAGCTGGTGGCTTAATTGCCAATCCATATCCTGTTTCTTCTTGGATGCCATAGACAGGTCTTAACTCCTCCACAAAGGAACCAGAAAGAGCAATTTCAAATCACTCCTGGTGTCTTTATTTTCCATATCTCAGATACAAATATGTATTCACCCGTATATGATATCAGTGTGTTTCTACATTTTTATGTGTCCTTTTATTTATTTTTTTTACAAATTATAATCAGATATAATTATAGGGTGCACAGTGATGTTATGGTGTATGTATACAACGAGGAATGTTGGAATCAAGCTAATTAACATATCCATCCCCTTAAATACTTATCATTTATTCCTCTTGTCTAACTTTCTACCCCTTTACCACCACCTCCCCATTCCCTGACCTCCAGCCTCTGGTATTTTTACATTATTTGGAGCAAAAATCATTTTACCATCATTTTGCTCTCTATTAGTTAAATTATTCTAGATTCCACATATGAGTGAGAGCAGGCAGTATTTGTCTTTCTGTGCCTGGCTTATTTCACTTAGCATAATGTCTTCCATATCCATCCCTGTTGTTGCAAATTATAGGATTTCTTTCTTTTTAAGGCTAAATTGTATTCCATTGTGTGTATATACCACATTTTCTTTATCCATTCGTTCACTGATGGACACAGGAAAATTTCCTATTTTAGCTATTATAAACAGTGCTGCAGTAAACATGGGAGTACAGATATCTCTTCAACATAATTTCAAGTCCTTAGGATATATATATCCCGAAGTGGAACTGCGGCATCTATATGGAATTTTTAAAAGATTTCATTGGCCGGGCGTGATGGCTCAAGCCTGTAGTCCCAGCACTTTGGGAAGCCAAGCCGGGTGGATCACGAGGTCAGGAGTTCAAGACCATCCTGGCTAATATGGTGAAACCCCATCTCTACTAAAAAATACAAAAAAATTAGCCGGGCATGGTGGCTTGCACCTGTAATCCCAGCTACTCGGGAGTCTGAGGCAGGAGAATCACTTGAACTGGGAGGCGGAGGTTGCAGTGAGCAGAGATCATGCCACTGCACTCCAGCCTGGCAACAGAGCAAGATTCTGCAAGATTCTGTCTCAAAAAAAAAAAAAAGAAAGAAAAAAAAAAAAAGAAAAGATTTCATTGGTTGGTAAGTAATGATACATAATACATACATATTTGGTAAATAACAAATACAACAAATATGTGTTGTCGTGTAGTCTTGAGGTCATTCAGATGATGTATGTTTTGTAAAGTCTTCGTGGGTTCTGGTATGGTGCATTATGACAGATCTCAAAATTGTGTTGCTAGAGCTCAAGATTAAAAAGGACATTTTAGAGAGTTTGTGGCCAAAACAAGGCTTGCCTATCATTACAGTCTCCCAGCAGTCTCATCTAAAGTCTAAAAAAGCTCATTCACAATCCACTCAGTGTCAACAGGTGAGGGCTACTAGCTGATACTAGAGTTATCAATACCGATGATAGGCACAGCAAATGGAACCGTGCAGCTCATTAGAAGATACTTACGAACCACTTAAACTTAAGAACTTGGCTTTAGTGAGTTAAAAATGCAGAGTATGCCCTGCAAAACCAGTTTCCACTTGAGCAAGAATTTGTTAGTTCTTATCACAGCCAACCATCTTCCGGAATTTGAATGGCCCTAAACCTAATTTGGCGTTTTGGACAGGACAATAGGTACTTGCGTGACATGGTTGGGGAATAACGCACAGCTGTTTCCCATTTAGGTCACTTTGATCTATGACTGAGCCAAATACCTGGGCCTGTCCCCAGCCAAACTACACCCCAGAGGAATGAAGGAAATAGAGCAGAATTTTAGGAGCAGGGATCTCAGTACTTTTTTAATCAAGTTTTTATTCATCAAATATTTGTTGGATGCTGTAGAAGTGTTCTCAAACATTCATGTCCGTAAGATTTGCCTAGGACAGTCCCACGACCAAGACAAACAGAATTTGCAGTTGAGTCACAGAGCCTGGGAATCTACATTTAACCAGCCTCATAGGTGATTCTGATAAGAGACCTCCATGGACTACTTTGTAAAATGTTTAGTTTGGTCTCCAGAATGAATAAACAACAGTTCCCTGCCCTCTGGAGCCTCAAAGTCCAGGGAATGGAGATACACTATTGTGACATTATGTGATTAATAGAGGGCCTGGTGACAGTGAAGGAGGAAAGGAAGACTCTGTCCAGGGGATACCAAGGGGTTGCCAGAAAGACAAGGAGAAAGGGCATTCTAGGCAGGGGAACAGCCTTTACATGCCATAACCATGAGAAATTATGGAATAGGAGGGGACCGAGAGCAGCCTCAATGTTTAATAAATTAGCAGACTCAGGTATTTCTTTATAGCAACACAAATGGACTGAGACAAATGGAAGTATGGGACGAGAAGGCTGGCCCCTGGTTTAAATGGGATGAACTTATCCAGAGAAAGCAGGAGCATGAACATGTGTGGGGCCCAAGGGTGAATCACAGTTTGATGTGATGGGAAGGTGAAGGGCACTGCAGAGGTGGACAAGGCAGGAGAGAATGTAAAGAGAAGAGTGGACTGCCATTCACCAGCACAGTCATTTCAATTCTATTTTGTAGGCAACAGGAAGTTGGCAAAAGTCTTTAAGCAGAAAGTGAACATGAGAAGATATGAAGTTTGTCTATGGAAGTATCTAATATTTTGAAGATGTTCATTCAATTAATATCTCCTGAGGACCTGGTGTATTGGCCCATTCAGGCTGCTATACCAAATAACTAGGACTGAGTAACTTACAAACAACAGAAAGTGATTGCTCCCAGTAGTGGAGGCTGGAAGTCTAAGATCAAGGCGCCAGCAGATTCAGTGTCTGCTGAGGTCCCTCTTCCTCATAGATAGTGCCTTCCAGCTGGGTCTGCATGTGGTGAGAGGAGCAAAAGACTCCTTCAGGCCTCTTTTATAAGGGGACTAATTCCATTCATCAGGACACTGTCCTCATCTCCTAATCACCTCTCAAATGCCCCACTTCCTAATAATAACACCTTAAGAATTAGGTTCCAACATATGAATTTTGGGGGGGACACAAAAATCTGAACCATAGCACCTACCGTGTTCCTAACAGTGTTCTATAGAGGCTAGAAGAGGACCTCACAGCTAGGAATTGTTGTAACAGTCTGAGCAATTAACGTCTAAACTAAGAAAGTGGCAAGGGACACACAGAGAGGGAACTGAATGCGTCAACAAGATTGGATTTGAGATTTAATTTAAAAAGACAACAACACAGAATATGGTGACTGGTTGGATTGAAGATGCAGTGGGGAAAAGATCTGCAGTGTTTTGGGGCAGAGGGACTGAGAATACGGTAATGACATGGGTAATGACTGGGAGAACAGACAGGCAAAAGACAATAGTTTGGATGTTTGTCCCTCCAAATCTCATGCTGAAATTTAACCCCCAATGTTGAAAGTGGGGCTGGATTGAAGGTGTTTGGGTCATGGGTGCAGACCCTTCATTAGTGCAGATTAGATTAGTGTCTTCCCTTGACAGGGTGGTGAGTGGGTTTTTAATCTATTAGTTCCCACAAGAGCTGGTTGTTAAAAAGAGCCTGGCACTTCCGCCCTTTCTTGCTTCCTCTCTCATCACCTGATCTCTGCACATGCAAGCTTCCCTTCCTCTTCCAACATGACTGGAAGCTCCCTGAGGCCCTCCTGTCCCTCCCCCAAGCAATGGCACCATGCGACTTGTACAGCCCAGCAGAACAATGAGCCAAATAAAGCTCTTTTCTTTATAAATGACCAGCCTCAAGTATTCCTTTATTGCAATGCAAATGAACTAGGACAAATGGAAGTGTGGGAAGAGAAGGTCCCTCTTTTAAATGGGATGAACCTACCCATACAGAAAGCAGAAGAGTGAAAATGTGTGATGCCCAAGGGTGAATCACCGTAGCAGTAAGTGGTGGAGTGTACTGAACCAGAAAGAGGGGAACCAAGGCAAGAGGTGTCCTCCAAAGAAGTAGAGAGGGGTCTGAGAGGAAAGAATTGCTCAACCACTTCCAATGCAGCAGAGAAAAAGACTTTGTAGTGTCTACCGGTTTATCATCCAGGTTCCTGAGGGTGACCTTAGCAAAGATGATTTCAGCGGAGAGCTGGAGGCATGGACCAGATGTCAGGATGGAAGGAATGCAGTGAGGAAGGAAGGAATGGAAAGTGTGGAAGTGGAGGTATGAAGTGTAGACAAATTTCTTAGGAAAACTGAGTATGAAAGAAAGAAGAGAGGCCGGGCGCGGTGGCTCACGCCTGTAATCCCAGCACTTTGGGAGGCCAAGGTGGGCGGATCACCTGAGGTCGGGAGTTCGAGACCAGCCTGACCAACATGGAGAAACCCCGTCTCTACTAAAAAATACAAAAAATTAGCCGGGCATGGTGGCGCATGCCTGTAATCCCAGCTTCTTGGGAGGCTGAGGCAGGAGAATCACTTGAACCCGGGAGGCGGAGGTTGCGGTGAGCCGAGATCGCGCCATTGCACTCCAGCCTGGGCGACAAGAACAAAACTCTGTCTCAAAAAAAAAGAAAGAAAGAAAGAAGAGAAAGAGGCAAAGAAGAAGATGGAACCAAGGAACTGAGTTAGGACTGCCAGGAAAATATGGACATAGGTGTTTGTTTATAAGAAAAGTTGTGGTGAAAATAGAGGAAGGGTAAGTTGGATTTCCAGTTTAAATTTCTATTGTCTTAGAGAAAAAATCATTGTATAAAAACTAAAGGGAACAAACAGGGAGTGCTGCAGTTTTAACTACTAGGGATCAGTAAAAAATATTTCTCAATTTAGAAAGTAGTTAACCCACAGTATGGCACTGTGAAATGGAGGCTGCTATGAGAGTCAGGATAAGGGAAACGCCCAAGGAAGGAGAGAGGTAAACAGTCAGTCATTGTAGAGAAAAAAGTGGATGTAAATAATCCCAGCACTTGGCATCCCTCCCCGTGTCTGGGGTCATTGTCAGGGGCAGCTTATGTATATATCAGGGGAGGGTTGTGATTTGACTTTTTAGCTAGGTGATTGTGAAGGCAAAAAGGAACAATCCCAAAAATCACTTTATCAAATGGCAAATAGATCTTTAGTATTTGATCCAGGAATCTCTACCCAGAGGTAAATCAGCTGGATGTGAATCCACATTTCTATGTATTTAGAAAACAAATGGACAAGATTCAGATAAACTGAGGAGCCTCACCTGTTCAACCATCTAAAGCAGCAATGCAGTTTTGTTTTTTACATTCTCGTGAATAAGATGTTGTTTCCAAGTTGCTGTTTCATGTGAAACCAGAACGGCAGTTTATACAGTTCCCTCAGAAACCGAGGATAGTACAGTATGATGGTTTCAGTATCAGGTTCTGTTTGTGTGCACATGCATGCTCAAGGGCAAGGGTAGTACACATGTGCACAACTGCAAATTGGCAGTGGTGACATATATTTATATGAATGCCTGAAAATGTCTTAGTAGAATGTACCTCAAACCGATAGCAAAGGTTCTCTGTGGGCAAAGCAAGAGAGAAAATTAAAACTAGGGCTGATGGGCAAAGACACTTTGGAGAACCTCATCTGCAATGTTAGTTCTTTACAAGATAAATTTATTACTTGTAGATTTTAAAATTTTATTTTAAAGTTATAGAGAAATTAGCACTAATTAAGTTTTACCAAGTATTTTTTGAGAAGTCAAAGATGGTTATTATGTAGTGGAAGGGTAGGCAAACAGGGTGTAAACCATGGAGAAATACGTGTTTGCAAGATGCCTAAATGCAATGAATGCTTCCAATAAGTCAGAATCTTTACAATTTGGCATCACTTCTGTCTTTAAAAGTGTTCAGTCTTTCTTCCTTTTGCTCTTCCAGGTGCCCGTGTTTTCTCAAACAGCTGTTCTATGACTAGAAGAATGGTTTCATCTTTGCCAATGTTGTTTGCCTCCTGCTAATATAAATTTAAAATGATAGCTCTTACTATCATTATTAATTGGGTGGTGATGCTTGAAGCTGTAATTCAAAGGACTGAAGAATGGACAGAGAATGGGGAACAGTATGGAAGAAATGGTGAAACTGCAGGGATCTTGAGGCATCCTGAAAGAGTTCCCATCATGAGACCTTACCCCAGGCATAACAGGAGGCAACAGCTAGGCTTAGAGCTTTTAGAACATGAGAAAGGTCTAGAAGGGATACCACAGGGGACCTGACAGACAGCAGGAGATGAGAAGGAAAATTCTTGAGCAGCAGAAGGGCCTCAGTTAAGATTATTGGGGAGAATTTGCAAGGAAACAAGTTGCCTTATTAACTTTCCCCAGTAAGTCTGGATAGCTCTGGTGCATGACATGGGTGGAAAATGGAAGAACAAGAGCAAGGAAATCTACATTATACACATTGCTGAAATAGGTCATGGAGTTCTGGCAATGTAGGAGGGCTAGAGAGCCCAGGACTTGGCTGAGGGACTGGGAGAATAGACAGGCAAAAGACAAAGGTGTCCTGTTAGGGGAGAGAGAAAAGGAGGTTTATAAGGGCAAGAGAGCAGAAGAGGAAGGTGAATAAGGCTCATTCTTCCATGCCTTCCAGACTATCATCTCTCTTAGGGGAGAAACTGATTCTCATTTCTTTTTTATTTATTTTAGCCCATGTTAAATAATGCTTTTAAGATCATGAATTAACTAATGAACAGAAACAGCTATCTTGCTGGCTTATCTCCCACTGAGCTACAGGTTTCTGGAGGGTGTCCTGTGGAGCGAGGTATCGAGAATGCCCAGGAAAGCTCAGGAGACTTCGCAGGTATGCGATAGTTAATGAATGGGAAAAAATGAACGGGATCTTTTTGAGCTCTGATTTCCTCATCTAAAAATGAAAACCACAAGACAAACTCCCATTCCCAAGAAGGGAGGAGGCATCCATTATAATTCTAGACAACTTTGTTCTTAAAATTTGCCAGACCAGCCCTTGAGCATTTTCATTTAAATTCCTCAGTGGGCAGTTGATTCCCCATGGCTCATACTGTCTTCCATCGTGGAGGGGAATGAGTCAAGCAAATGGAATCATAAATAGACACATGTGCATGCGTGCACACATGCACACACACATGTGCACACACTTTGGCCATAGATTTCTCAACCTTTGAGTCTTCTCAAATTCTCCTTACTTTTCCTTCCCCCATCCTCATCCTCCACTCCATACAACAGCTGCTCCTTGGACCAGACCTCCATAACAAATTCAAAACAGTTGCCTGGGGTTTGGCTACTGCTTCACAGGTAGTTATAAAGCATTTTGTGGTGCAAGCTAAGATTCCAGCTAACTGAGATGGCATGAAGGAGCTAATTAAAGCAGTCAAGAAGCTGGTTTAAATGAAGATGAAAATGTAAGCCCTGTCCTCAATGGATAGAGTGATTAGAAATTAAAGTTGTTTGTTTTTTGTCAGAATCATCTGTGGTTTGCCAAAATGTTGACATGCAGCATAACCTGCTACTAATCAAAAAGAAAATAAACCAAAGAAGAAGAAGAAAATCTAACACTGTAAGTAGGAAAACAGACATAGAAAACCGGCATCTTTGCAAATGGGAAAAATATTTAACTTGTTTTTCTAAAATAAGTCTGATCTGTTTTTGGACAAAGTCTCAGTTCCTGAGTTTGCCTTGAAGGACATGCTCGCTCGCTCTCTGTTCTGAAAAACTCAGCAGTGGGAGGTCCAGGCAGCTGGAAGTGGGAAATGAAGCCATAGGATGAAGATGAAAAAACAGAGTTCAGGATAATAAGGTTGTCAGTCTCAAGTATTTTATGTAAAAGGAGCCCAAGCTTAGCATTTTTAATATCTCTAGAGTGTAACTGACTTATGCAGACAATTTGATGGCATTAATATTCAAGTCATACTACAAAATTATTAATTATGTTTTCTAAAGTTTGTACATTTAAAGTTATACTAATTAAATGCCTGATGAAGAAAATAATTCCTTACCTGATACGGTATAAGGGGAAAAGCATAAAAGGACGTTTTGATAAAACATGTACTATCCAGACTTCTCTACCTCCATCAATTTATTATAAACACTCTGTATTATAAAATAAAAACTTCAGAGTAGAATAATTCTAGCTCAAATCTGGAATGATGTGGATACATAGCATGTACTCAAGAATGGTTTTGTAAGGAGAAAGAAAGAGAGGAAAGAAGAATAAAAGCATACCTTGCTGAATATTGTTAATTGCACTTAACAGGTACAATATATGTATACAATATATACAATATATGATGATTAATATCGATGTTCTTGTCATTGATTTCTTCATAAGACCCAGTGTACATGGCACTGAGCTGAGTGTTTATTGCTTTAAGTGTGGCACCTTTGTATGAGCAGAATATTCTTTAGCAAGATTTGAACCAGCTCAAACATTTAAAAATAAATGAATTTCAGAGAAGTCTTACAGAAAATTAAAACAAAACAAAACAAAACAAACAACAACAACAACAACAAAAGAGATGCCACAAGAGTGCAACATACATGAGCTGAGTCTGATGGGTGGGACCAAGGGCAGCCCTTTCTTTGTCTTCATGATGGAGCAGGAAGGAGTTGAAGCAGAAACATCAAGCACCACAGGATCATTTGGGGAACATCCATTATCAAACCACCTCTCTCTCTTTCCTCTCAACCCTCTATGTCCCCAAGTCGTTTGCTAGGCATGAGCAAGGAGTGGAAAATGAGGAAGGGTAGGAAAATAGCAAAGATCTCAGCTGATAATAATACAAAGTTGCCACGAATGATCACGGCAAACACTTATATTGCGCTTACTCTATTTGTGCCAGGCATTCTTGGAGTGCTTTACATGTACTAATTCACTTAATTCTCACAACAATCCTGTGACTGTTCCCATTTTACAGATGAGGAGGCCGTGGCACAGAAAGGCCAGAAGTGTTTAAAGAGCAGAGCCATAATTCAAACCCAGGAGGCTTGTCTCAGAGCCACTTGTCTGCTACTTGAAAGCACAGAATGAAGAAGACAAAGGGTTTGGGCTTTCGAATTCCCTTCTACATACACAGATCTAGGCTTCCATACCACATTGTAAGTAGGAAACTCTCTGAGCACCTAGCCTCTAGCATGGTGTCTATTCCAGTGTACAAGCTCAATAAGTACTTGTCATAGGAAAGAATGTTTCATGTCAATTAATAGTGGAACCCTTTGCAACATACTGAGTCCATAAAACCATAAAATCCCAATTCAGTTGGCTTGGAAATAGCCTAACTTTTGCTTCAGTGCGGCCTAGGAGGGAGCTTATGCCACTTAGAAGAATACATTTTGACAAATTTCCTTGCAATACGAATTTAAAGATCACCTACCTTTCTAAAAATAGCAAAGAGGCCAGATGAGAACAAGCTTTCTTACCTGTCCCTAAACTACAAAGTGTCCTCAGCGAATCAGAAAGTATGACAGAGAAAAAAAAGAAGAAGCACAGAGAGGAAATGAACCAAGACAACATCACCTCACAGCAACCGGAAGGAAAAACACACACATACATATGCCACTCACATCCGACGTGTGTGGTTGCTCAGTAGGGAAATGCTTACAGCTGCCTCTAGAAGCAAGTCCGCTCGCTGCATGGAGAGGGAAACATGAGCATGCAGCAGGACTAGCTGTCACCTCCCGCCCGCCTGCCCAGAGAGGGCCAGAGCGTCGGGGAGGCAAGATGATCCACCAGCGGTTCCATCCTACACTTGGGTGAGTTCTCAGCCACTTGCTGTGGCCTGTGGGAGAGGAGGGACTCATTCAGGCTCCTACTTCCTGAGTTGGTGCCAGACATCTGGTGGTGTTTCCCCACTGTGAACACTCCTCAACTGGGGCAGGGAGGACCTCCACATGCCCCAGAAGAGGAATGAGTGACTCCCGGTCTCCAAGTTGACCTGGAGGTGCTGGTTTTAGTGCAACATTCAAACCAGCATGATTTCTACTTATGAAATTGTTCTGGGTAGATGCTTCCTGGTGTGTAAGTACATGGCCCCTCCCCTCTTCCTACTGTCGTCAGAGAGCTTACCTGACAGCAACTAAGCTTTTATTTTTCCTGAATTATTTCAGTACTTCAAAGTGTGGGCCGTCACTTATTCTTTATGGTGGATTAGAATCATTTACGTCCTTTTCAGCCTCTTTGGACATGAGTCCTGACTGGCGAGAAATGGTGACTGAGGATTGGATTCTGTGCGTGTCCTATCCCTGTAGTCATTAGGATCATCTCCAAGGGGCTGAGGACAAGTGACAGCACACTGTGTTCTCCCTGTCCATAGTGAGCCGCCCAAGAGCTCCACCCTTACTTTTCTCTATGTTTATTCTTTCACTTAGCCCATTCATTCATTTCTTCCTTCATTCATTCATTCAATTGCCTTTCTTCCACCAAGGACTTGAGGCAAATTTTTTATCTTGCTGAAATTTTTTCAAAATGAAGACCATCTGTAATCATAAAGGGGACAATCGTTCTGAAAGGGTTATACATAATTCTAAGCTATGCAGAGATCGGCCACCAATCTTTTCCCTTTGCTTGTGTTGAGAAGTGAGAGTAGGCGCTCTAGTCATTTAAACTCCTGCATGGGGAGTCCCTCCTTCCCCTGCCCAGAAGCTGGTTTCCCACCCAGCATGGGGTGTGAAGAGCAATTGTCCATGACAGAATACTGGGAATCTGCCAAATAGTTTTCTTCTTTGTTTCTGTTTTCTTCCAAGCTTGGTTACTTTCGAGGACATTCCTGGTTCTAAGAATGCGGAAAGTGGAGTTGGTGGAAAAGAAAGGATGTGAAATCAGTGTTTAGCTAGCGCTCCACCATTTCTTGTTAATCGGTTAGTTTATTTAACAGCTATTTAGTGGCTGTCACTTTGTACGTCACCACTTAAACAAGATAGCTGGGCACGGTGGTGTATGCCTATAGTCCCGGCTATGCAGGAGGCTAAGGCGGGAGGATTGCTGGAGCCCAGGAGGTCGAGGCTGCAGTGAGCTATGATTGCACCACTGCACTGCAGCTTGGGTGACAGAGTGAGATCCTGTCTCAAGAAGAAGAAGAAGAAGAAGAAGAAGACGATGACTAGGAAGATATAAAAGCAGAGGTGTAGGAGAGGACAGGCTGTAAGGGTCACATGATGTAATTCCCGGTGCCTCTTCCTCTACACGTAAATAAGGGGAAAGAGCTATCTTGAATGGCTGTGGTAAGGATTAGATTGAATAGCAAACATTTAAGCATCTGGCAGAGAAGGGGTATCCGAAGTAGTCAGTGTCCTGCCTCCCTCCTCCAGGCCTCACTGTGACTGAGCTGGCTGCTGACAACCTGAGTCTTTATCTCATGACCTGAGAGCTTTCTCCAAGCCACACAGGGACAACTGTAATTGCCCAAAGGGCAGACGAAAATTCCCAGAAATGAACTCCTCAAAGGCTGTAAATATTCCAGCTCCCTCAGTCTTGAGTGGAATAATCTACACGGAATCAAGCTCCAGTTGCCCACAGTGGCGGGGCCCTTCATGGCTTCTCTCCTTCCCTGGATACTCCTTCACTCCCCATCAATGCTTCCTGGGATCATTTCTTAAACTACATGTCCTCGAACTCTGCATTGGGGTCTACTTCTGGGGGAACCCAAGCTAAGACCACCGGCCACCTACTACTGTAGGTACTTAAAGAGTTTAGTCGTCTGTTTTCCAATGATCAGCTCCATCTCCATTTGACCTTAGACTCTGAGTTTTGATTTCCCACATATCCATTCAAGGGTTGTAGTGGGGGAAGATCCTCCTCCTCCTCTTCTGGATTTGGCTTGGAGAAAGGGCACAGGCACAGCATGGAGAGCACCTTAGGCTTGACATGTCTCCATGCAAACCCGCACAGCACGAAGATGCGTCCTACTGCAAATGACCTTCACTTTGTCCTGCTTATCTGTCACCTTCACAACTCATTTGATGAAAATTTCTGAAGTGTGGAACACAAATAGGAGAATTTTATATAGCACAAGATACATAGATAGAGCATGAAATCACATTGAACCTGATCTTAAAGCTACTCTAACTCTTGGCTCCTTACTGTTTTAACAAGAGAAAGTCGATCTGAGGCTAGGAGCCATCAACAGGCACTGGTAGCTAGCTACAAATTAATAGCATGGCTTTATTTTCCTGTATTTGCTTTTTATGGTTACCTTATATTAAACCACAACGGCCTGTTTTTTTTTTAATTTGTAGGAATGGTATAAACATTTCTTTTAAAATATAAATCTTTAAGTTTTAAAAAAGTGAATTTATTATTACTATTATTATTTTTGAGACAAAGTCTCACTCTGTCACCCAGGCTAGAGTGCAGTGTGGCTCACTGCAACTTCTGCCTCCCAGGTTCAAGTGATTCTCTTGCCTCAGCCTCCCAAGTAGCTGGGATTGCAGGTGCCCACCATCACACCTGGCTAATTTTTGTGTTTTTAGTAGAGATGGGGTTTCACCATGTTGGCCAAGCTGGTCTCGAACTCCTGACCTCAGGTGACCCGCCCACCTTAGCCTCCCAAAGTGCTGGGATTACAGGCATGAGCCACTGCGCCCGGCCCAAAAGTGAGTTAATTTAAAGAAAAAAACGTTGCTGACAGTCCTGACAGCACACAGAATATGGCAAACCCTGGAAAATGGGGTTTGATTAAGAGAAGACTAGGAAAGCCCCACTAGAACGCAGGCTCCTCAAGGGCATGGCTGCATCTCCCAGTGCCTTCCACCCAGGGCCTGCCTGGCCTGTGCCACTGGGCTGGAATTGTATGGATTTTGGATATCCCAGGAAGCAGGGGTCCAAGCTGCCCTTGTTAGCTACAGGCTTTTTTGGTCTTCAAAATATACAACTTCACTTTGCCCACAGTGGCTCCCAAACGTCCCAGCAGTGATGCAGGGTAGTATAGACACCTAAAAATGGGTACAACACAAGCTCCATTGTATGGTAGTTCCACCCTAAGTAAGAATCCATGAGGCTCCGATGTAACTCAGCAATGTGAGCTGAGGGGACGGGTGGAGGTATTTCTTCATCTGCATTCCTTTTCACTTTTGCTTCAGATTAGAAGCTCTGGTTCGTGAAGGTCTGTAATTCACTTAACTAGAGGTCAATGAATGATAAATTTTTTTGAACAGCTACAAAACCCTCTACTTTCCAAGGAAAGTGATACATGAGGGTGAATAATTTAGATAAATTTAGCTTGAAAAAATTTTTAAATATTGTAACATTTTATACTACAAAAAAGTATATATAAGGTATCCATATATTCTAAATAATCATAGGAATAAAAACATAAATACACATCCACCTGTTACCCCACTACCCAACCCTGAAAGCCTGCTGTGTGCCCCTAAACAATTGTATCCTTCTCTCCCAATGCCCACTGGGTTGGTCTATGTTTGTGTGGCTATAAATACCTGAGGCTGGGTAATCTGCAAAGAAAAAAGGTTTAATTGGCTCATGGTTCTGCAGGCTGTATAGGAAGCATGGTGCTGGCATCTGCTTCTGGTGAGGCCTCTGGAAGCTTACAGTCATGGTGAAAGATGAAGGGGGAGCCAGCATCACATGGCAAGAGTGGGAGCAAGAAAGCTGGGAGGTGCCACACTCTTTTAAACAATCAGATCTTTTTTTTGAGACAGAATCTCACTCTGTCACCCAGGCTGGAGTGCAGTGGTGCAATCTTGGCTTGCCGCAACCTCCACTTCCTGGGTTCAAGTGATTCTCCTGCCTCAGCCTCCTGAGTAGCTGGGATTACACGTGCATGCCACCACACCCAGCAAAATTTTGTATTTTTAGCAGAGATGGAGTTTTGTCATGTTGGCCAGGCTGGTCTTGAGCTCCTGACCTCAGGTGATCCACCCACCTCAGCCTCCCAAAGTGCTGGGGTTACAGGCATGAGCCACTGCGCCTGGCCTAAACAACCAGATCTCATGTAAACTAATTGAAGAAGAACTCACTCATCACCAGATAGATGGTGTTAATTCATTCATAAGGGATCCACCCGCATGCTCCAATACCTCCCACTAGATCCCACCTCCAAAATTGGGGATCACATTTCAACATGAGACTTGGAGGGGACAAATGTTTAAACCATATCATTCTGCCCCTGGCTTCCCAAATCTGATGTCCTTCTCACATTGCAAAATACAATCATCTTCTCCCAGTAGTCTCCCGAAGTCTGAATTGATTCCAGCATCAAGTACAAAGTCGTGTCTCATCTAAGACTCAAATCTGTCCACCTATGAGACTCTAAAGTCAAAACAAGTTAGTTACTTCCAAGGTACAATGATGGTACAGATATTGGGCAAACATTACCATTCCAAAAGGGAGAAATTGGCCAAAAGAAAGGGTATAGGGGCCCCACACAAATCTGAAACCTAGCAGGGTAGTCATTAAATCTTAAAGGTCCAAAATACAATCTCCTTTGACTCCAAGTCCTACATTTAGGGCACACTGTTATAACAGTGGACTCCTAAGGCCTTGAGCAGCTCTGGCCCTGTGGCTTTGCAGGATGCAGCCCACATGGCTGCTCTCATGGGTTTAAGTTGAGTGCTTGTTGCTTTTCCAGTTAAAGGGTGCAAGCTGCCAGTGAATCTGCTATTCTGGGTTCTAGAGGGTGGCAGCCCCCTTTCCGCAGCTCCACTAGGTAGTGCCCTGGTGGGGACTCTGTGTAGGAGCTCCAACCCCACATTTCCCCTGGCATTTTCCTAGTAGAGTTTTTCTGTGGGGCCTCTGCCTCTGCAGTAGGCTTCTGCCTGAGCACCCAGGCTTTCCCATACATCCTCTGGAATCTAGGTGGAAGCCACCAAGCCTTCTTCACACTTGCGTTCTGAGCATCTGCAGACTTAACCCCATGTGGCAATCACCAAGGCTTATGGCTTGTGTCCTCCAGAACTGTGGCCAGAGCTGTACCTGGGCCCCTTTGAGCTGAGGCTGAAGCCAGAGTCTGAAGCTCAGCAGGGCAGTAGGGCCCTGGGCCTGGCCCCTGAAACCATTCTTTTCTCCTAAGCCTCTGGGCCTTTGATGGGAGGGGCTGTCCTCAAGATTTTTGAAATGCCTTTGGAGGGTTTTTGCCTTGTCTTGGATATTGGCTTCCTTTTAGTTATGCTCATCTCTCTAGCAAGTGAATGTTTCACAACCTGCTTGGATTCTTTCTCTACCACAGAGCCAGGCTGCAAATTTTACAAACTTTTACACTCTGTTTCCCTTTTAAATATAAATTTCAATGTTAAGTCACTTCTTTGCTCCCATATCTGATTTAGGTTGCTGGAAGTAGCCAAGTCACCTCTTGAATGCTTTGCTGCTTAGAAATTTCCTCTACTAGGTAGCCTGGGTCATCACTCTTAAGTTCAAACTTCCACAGATCCCTAGAGCATACAGTGCAACCAAGTTCTTTGTTAGGGCATAATAAGAATGACCCCATTCCATTTCCCAAAAACTTTCTCATTTCCATCTGAGACCTCATCAGCCAGAACTTCACTGTCCATATCTGTATCAGTATTTTGGTCACAACCATTTAACCAGTCTCTAAGAAGTTCCAAACTTTCCCTCATCTTCCTGTCTTTTTCTGAGTCCTTTAAACTCTTCCAGCCTCTCCCTTACCCCGTTCCAAAGTCACTTCCACATTTTCAGTTATCTTTATAGCAATGCTCCACTTCTCAGTACCAATTTTCAATTTTCTGTGTTAGTCCGTTTTGCATCACTATAAAGAAATACCCAAGGCTGGGTAATTTATAAAGAAAAAAAGTGGGGACCGGGCACGGTGGCTCACGCCAGTAATCCCAGCACTTTGGGAGGCCGAGACGGGCGGATCACGAGGTCAGGAGATCGAGACCACCCTGGCTAACACAGTGAAAGCCCGTCTCTACTAAAAATACAAAAAATTAGCTGGGTGTGGTGACGGGCGCCTGTAGTCCCAGCTACTCAGGAGGCTAAGGCAGGAGAATGGCATGAACCCGGGAGGCGGAGCTTGCAGTGAGCCGAGATCACGCCACTGCACTCCAGCCTGAGTGATAGAGTGAGACTCCGTCTCAAAAAAAAGAAAGAAAAAAGAAAAAAGGGTTGATTGACTTATGGTTCTGCAGGGTATACAGAAAGCATGGTGCTGGCATCTGCTTCGGGTGAGGCCTCAGGAAGGTTACAATCATGGCGGAAGGAGGAGCCAGCATATGACATGGCAAGAGAGAGAGAAAAGGACAGAAGGGAGAGGTCCCAGAGTCCTTTAAACAACCAGATCTTGGGTGCGTTAACTGAGTGAAAACTCACTCACCATCAAAGGGACAGCACTAAGCCACTCATGAGGGATCTGCCCCCATAATCCAATACCTCCTACTAGGCCCCACCTCTAACACTGTGGATCACATTTCAGCGTGAGATTTGGAGGAGACAAACATCCAAATTATATCACCTACCACAAAAGGAACTATTGTCTTAAAATTTTGTTAGTCATTCCCTTACTTTACTTTTTGATTGGCCTCCTAGGTCTAAGTGTATGCATAGACATATATGCATAGGTATATATACAATTTGCATATAGTCAATTTCTGCCTGTTTGGGAACTGTAAGTAAATATAATCATACATAAGCATTCTTCCAAGACTTGCTCTAGGGTCAACATGATATTTCTGAGTGTTATCCATGTTGATGCCAAGAGATGTTGATAATTCATTTTCACAGCTGTATAGTATCCTATTGCATGAATGTATGACAGTCTATCATTTCTATCAGTTGGCAGTGCTAAGTCATTGACAAAAATGATGGTTCAGAGTTAGGATTTCAAGAAGGCACAATTGCCACCAAATTTATCCCTGTTTCATGCACAAACTACTTGAGCAGAGAAGTGAAAATTTTGCCTCAAGTTAGAAGCAGGTTTTAGCTAGGGGACATCAAAGGAGGGAAGGGGTCTTAAATGGGAGAGGAAGAAAGGGCTAAAGTGACTCCCCAAGATTAAAAAATAAAAACAAAAAGAAAAAAAAGAATCTTCCTGGACAGACAATTTGTGACTGGGCTAGCCCATGCTGATTGTGGGCAAATTAAGGCTTTCACTCTCACTGTCACTTCCCCTCCAGATAAGCCCTTGGGGAAAAGTTCTATATGAATACTTAATTTACAAAAGTATTGTTCCCCAGACCAGCAGATTGGGTTCCATGAAGGTCCATCACTTTGCTTGATCCTGAAGAGAACCAAATTTCATATAGTGCTCATCTATAAGCTTCCTATTGATGTATTTTTTATATTCACCTTTTTCTATAGCATATGCGACTATGCAGCTACCACACAGTTATCAAATAGTAGTGTCCATGAACCTTTAGTAACCTTTGACTAGTTTCCATGACTCTGAAATTCCCCACCCACAGCTTCACTTGTAAAGAGTGGAAATATTTAGAGGAAGTGAGACTATCAGCAGCTCAGCCTCACCATGGGAAGCATTTTCTCCTCAAAGCACAGTAGTATGCTGGTGCCTTCTGTCACACTATCAGGACATGGCTTTAGCAAGTACAGTGTCCTCTCAGCACCTGTTCCTCATGCAGGTGCTTTGCATCATATAATCGTCGAAACATTAAGGAAGTAATGCTCTTTGTCACTCCACCGGAGTGGAGAAGTTAAAGTCAAGAGTGTACTTCAGGGGTTGTATCACTGGTTTGGCTTTAGTAGTTGTGAGGTCTTGATGGGTGAGAGTGATCCCTGGCAAATGACATATATTGATTGATTCATTGAGTGAGCAAAGGAGTAAGGTGGGTGTATTAGGGTTCTCCAGACAAACAGAACCAATGGAATGTGTGTGTGTATATATATACATATATATATAGAGAGAGAGAGAGAGAGAGAGATTTATTTTATGAAGTTGGTTCACACAATTATGGAGACTGGCAAGTCCAAAATCAGCAAGGCAGGCTGGCAAGCTGGAGATCAGGGAAGAACTGACATTGCTACTTGAGTCCGAAGGCACTCTGCTAGCTGAATTCCTTCTTGCTCTGTGGATGTCGCTCTTTTTTCTATTAAGGCCTTCAACTGATTGGAGGCCCACCTACATTATGGAAGGTCATTTGTTTTGCTCAAAGCCTACTCATTTAAATGTTAATCTTTTAAAGAAGATAGCTTTGCAGTGACATCCAGAAGAATGTTTGATCAATATCTAGGTACCTTGGCTTAGCCAAGTTAACACGTAAAATTAACCATCTCAGATACTGTATCCATTTCAGAAAATAATTTAGTAGATATTAATATTTATTGAACATCTGTTAAGGACTCTGTATGGGCCAGGCACCATATTAGGTGCTGGGGATTCAGCAGGAAAGCCAGCCAGACAAAATCCCTATTTTCAAGAAGCTTACATATGGAAGGGTGGAGGTTTGAGTAATTAAAACACTCGCAGTAGTTTTCATGCCTTCAAGAAGCACTGCAGATACAACTCAAGTCAATCAAATCCATTCTCCCATATACATATGGTATTGGGGTATAGTGAAAAGAGGAACAGAGGTTCTGACTTCCTGGACTTTGTCTTCTACTGAGGACCTCAGGTCTAAATTATATGATGACCATAGACACATTTTAACAATTATATACAACATGTTATTCATTATGTAGCTTTCAAAAGCACATATAATTCAGTTATAAAGGATGATGAAAATTAACAAATTGCATACAATTGTATTAAAAATAAAGTGACAAAGGTATTTTGTACATGATTATTTCATTTTCTTCATGAGTTTTTTTTTTTTAATTTTTATGGCAAAACAGTTCAAGGAACCACTTAACGAAGGTGTTTGATTTCAAAAGAATTGATTTGGGAAGACAGAACTGCTTGATGATGTCTGTTTCTTTGTTAGCTTTAAGTAACTGGTTTACTCAATTGGCCTCTTCCTTCATTGTGTTTTGGAGTTTTTTTGACTGAAGCAAAGACAAGCATTAAAAATAAAGACATTGGTTTATGTTGTTTAGAACTGAGAATCCATTTAAAAAAAATGAATTGGAGTATCTATGCCAGATTGCTCTTACATGATATATGTGGCCATGGGCAGAGGAGGGTTGCATTCTTAATTTATGCCCTGAAAGAATATCAGGCTTATTTCTCAAAAGGAAAAATACAAATGGCAAGCAGGTATATGAATAGGTGCTCAACATCACTGATCCTCAGAGAAATGCAAATCAAAACTACAATGAGATATCATTTCACCACAGTTAAAATGGCTTATATGCAAAAGTCAGGCAATAACAAATTCTACTGAGGATGTGAAGAAAAGGGAACCCTCATATACTGTTAGTGGGAATGTAAATTAGTATAACCACTGTGGAGAACAGTTTGGAGGTTCCTCAAAAAACTAAAAATAGAGCTGTCATATGATCCAGCAATCCCACTCACATATACCCAAAAGAAAGGAAATCAATATATTAAAGACATATCTGCAGTCCTGTGTTTATTGCAGCACTCTTCACAAGTGCCAAGATTTGGAAGAAACCTAAGTGTCCATCAACAAATAAATGGATAAAGGAAATGTGGTACATATACACAATGGAGTACTATTCACCCATAAAAAAGAATGAGATCCAGTCATTTGCAGCAACATGGATGGAACTAGTGGTCATTATGTTAAGTGAAATAAACCAGGCACAGAAAGACAAATTTCACATGTTCTCACTTACTTGTGGGAGCTAAAAATTAAAATAATTGAACTCATAAAGACAGACAATAGAGGGATGGTTACCAGGGGCTGGGAAGGGTAGCGTTGTGGGTGGGGGGGATTATGGGGGGCAGGTAGGGGAGATAGATAATGAGTACAAGTCATAGAAAGAATGAGTAAGACCTAGTATTTGCTAGCACAACAGGATGACCGTAGTCGAAAATAATTTAATTGTACATTAAAAAATAACTAAAATATTGTAATTGGATTGTTTGTAACACAGAGGATAAATGCTTGAGGTGATGGAGACCCCATGTACCCTGATGTGATTATTACACATTGCATGCCTGTATCAAAACATCTCATATAACCCATAAATATATACACCTACTATGTATCCACTGAATTTTTTTAAAAAGAAAAAAAACAGCCTTTAATTAGAATATTTGCATGTCACAGGCTAGGGCTAATAATCCAATTAAAGTTTTAGGTAAGGGCTGGAGGACACAGGGATGTGTAGCACACGTTGATGTACCTCAAAGAGGGGAATTCTTCTAAGAAAGCGTCATCACGATTTCTCACCTGTTATCTACAACCTTCAACCCATTGCTCTAAAAAATCTTACATTTGAGTTGAAGAAAGAACAAATACGTTTGTAAAACAAAAATCACATTTAAAAAATAGCTAAATATGTTGCTAAGTGAAAGAAGCCAATCTGAAAAAGCTGTATATTGTATGATTCTAACTAGAACGTTCTGGAAAAGATAAAACTAGGGTACCAGTAAAAAGATCAGGGGTTCCCAGGGACTGCAAGGAGGGAGGGATGAATAGGTGAGGCATGGAAGATTTGAGGGCAGTGAAAGTCCTCTGCGTGATACGATAGTGGTAGAAGCGTGTCACTGTGCATTTGCCCAATCCCATAGAATGTACACCACCAGGTGCGAACCCTACTGTCAACTATAGACTTGGGGTCATAATGATGTGTCAATGCAGGTTTATTGATTGTAGCAAATGTGCCAGTCTGTGGAGGGAGGTCGACAGTGGGAGAGCCTGTGTGCATGTGGGAGCAGGAGGTATATGGGAAATCTCTGTACCTTTTTCTCAATTTTGCTGTGAACCCAAAAGTGCTCTAAAAAATAGTCTTTTTTTAAAAGGAGCTAAGTGGCCTCTTTGATGTTCCCCCAGAAGGCCAAGAAAGTGCCCAACACCGGACGTTTGCACTGACAGTCCCTCTGCCTGGAAGGACCTTCTGGGAGATCCCTGCCAGGCTCCGTCCCCTTCCTCATTCAGCTCTGGGCCACAAGTCACCCAATCCGCCAGCCCTCCCTCACATGCCATGCAAAATGGCCACGGGGTCACCTCTGTCACCCTCCCCGTTGTCACCTGTCCTCAACACCACCCGACGCCGTGCAGACTGACGTACTGGCTTATGGTCTGTTTCTGCCTCTGAACCGTTGGCTCCGTGGGTGGGTGAAGGACGTTATTTTGTCCCCTGCTGTGTTCTTGGCACATGGGAGGTGCTGGAGGGACATCTGCTGAAGGAACGAGTGAGTGAGCCAGTGAGTGGATCATCCAGTGAGCGTGAGGGACGGGTGCTACCAGGCAGGGAAAGAAGCTCTCTGTAAGCAGGGAAGCCTGCTCAGAAGTGAAGCTGGTATGGCCCTTGCAAAACGGGAAGGACACAGAAAAGCATGAGGAGATTGTGAGGGGAAGAAAAGGCGGCTTGAGGAGAGCCTTGTGCACCTAGTGGGTCGGTGAGGGAACCATTTGGACTGGAATGCAGGTCTTGGGAGGACAGGGGTGGGAGCCGTCCTCCAGCCGTGTGTGCGTGCTGTAGGCAAAGGCAGACTTTTCCTCAGGAAAGCAAATTTGGATCCGCTCCAGCATTTGAATAACAGCCTGATTGAAAAACAAAGCTCTACTCTACATAGCAGAGCAAAGAATGGTTTTGGTCAGAGCATTTTTCAAAGACAATGTTCCTCACTTCTTGCTTCAGCATAGGAAAACGTCAGCAGAGCTTCGGTGCAGCGTTTTACTCTAAGCAGGCCTGTGATTCAGGGGCTGGCCTCCTTGGGTTCCCACAAGCATGATTTAGCAGAGAGATGTGTCTATTTCATCATTAAACGAAATGTTCCTTAGGGAAAAGACTCTTTATATACCTCAGTTGACATCCCTAATGATATTCCCTGAATACCCAGTTAGAGAAGTGTTAGCCTCTTCTATGTCATACTTTCTATCTGCTGAGTAATTTCTTTCTTAATTGCACAGAAGAGCCACTTGGCCCAACACTCCCTATTTGAGTTCGACCTAGCAGAGATTTCTTTCTTTTGAGGCTATGTGAAATGCAGTTGAGCATGATATTGAAAACATGAACACAATCCAAAAGTCCATCAGTAGGGTCCTTATTACAATTTGGCAATCCACACTTTGGAATACTGTGCTACTGGTGAAAAAGAAGAAAGAGGATATACACAAAGATATGAAAAGATGTGAATCAAATACAAAGCAACAAATGCAAAAGAACATACAGTACAAGCCCATTTTTATCTATCTCATTGTAGAATAAAAGTCTAGCAAAATATAGACTCCCAAATATTTTTAAATGTTTTGGGATTGGGTTTATAAGACAGGTTCACTTTCTGCAGTAGACATTGTCTGTCTTTAGATATTTAAAAATGAGTTTACG
Organism: Homo sapiens; assembly: GCF_000001405.40. Classification (NCBI taxonomy): domain Eukaryota; kingdom Metazoa; phylum Chordata; class Mammalia; order Primates; family Hominidae; genus Homo; species Homo sapiens. The sequence goes on along the minus strand of NC_000006.12, from coordinate 11,369,567 downwards.
TTGCTTTGTGATTGAAAACTGGCTCAAATTTTAAAAACTCTGTGTGTGTACACGTGCACAATCACTCATGCATGCCAGGTTGTGTAGTACACAGGAGCAATGGTTGGAGAAATGGGGAGTTCCTAATAAAATTTAACAGTAGGAATGTGTTTTTAAGATTATTTTACTTAAAAATAATAATTCTTCTCCCCTCGTCAGGCTTATCTTTTGACCATTTTTGTTTTGGCTTGTTTTCTTGTTTTGTTAATTTGTTAATAAATAATTGATAAAAATAAATGGCAAAGCAAAAAAAAAGTTCTAAGCAATGTAAGAAAGTCATGGCATACTCTCTAAGGAGATTCTTTCTCTGCAGCATGGGAACATTCACAAAGCAACTATCAAGCAACATAAGTTGGGGAAATGATCATCAGGGTTCAGGAAATGGACAGATTCAAGAAGGTTGGAGTGCTTAAGAGAGAACCAACTGCCTGAGTTCAAATCCAACCTGTACCACCCACCTGCCATGTGCTATTGAGCAAATTACTTTACTTTTCTGTTTCTCTGTTTCTCATCTGCACAAAGGAGGTAATAAGAGCCCTACCTCACCGGTGGTTTTGAAGGTTTTATGAGTCAATGGATGATTTTGAATGTTACATGAGTCAACACACACACAGCACCTAAAGTGGTATCTGACACATTAAGTGCTCAATACATATTAGCTAGTGGGAGGAAGAGGAGGAGAGGGAATGAGTTTTCATAAAAGAGAAGGGATGTAAAGAATGAGTAGGGTTTGACAGAAAAAAGAATTCCAGAAGATCAAGAAAAAAACAAAACCCAAAGGCTTATAGGATACATGAAATGATCCAGTTAAATTCACCCCAACCTCTGTAAAGAAAGCCGAAATGATATTTCATGACTAGATGATAAACATAAGCAGATATGTACAAGCACTCAAATGAAATAGAAGGAGGGTTTTTTAAAGTTAGCTTTCCTTTATTATTCTGTAGACCCTTCTGTGTGTCAGTCATCAGTCAACAAATTCGTATGGAGCTACGTGGTGGTGTAGCTCCCACCAGCATGGAACTTTTTCCAAGTGGGTTTAAAGTTGGAAAACCATGGCGATCATTTGTTTTATTGTGTGTTGATTAGTAGCGTATCCAAGAGTTGTGGTAGTTACTTCGGTGTGACTCATTCAGGAATAGAAGAAAGATTCATTGTATTACTCTTAAAATATAAACAATTCTTAATTTTTCTGTGCTAATGAAGAACCACAGGAATAAATATAGTTGATAGATTAAATTATGTTTATTTTATTTTATCTGTAAATTAAGCAAATCTTCATTGTTTTGCCTTTTTGAAACTTTTCTCCATCTGTTTGGGTTTCTGGGTACCCCCCAGCCCTGGTGTCTTCTTCCCAGCTTGCAAACAGCCATCAGGGCCCAAGGGCAAGGGGAGAAGCCACTGAGGGCCAGACTGCGCACAGTAGCTTCCAAGCAGGCCCTGGGTAATTGAGTTGCTTGACCTTGGCAAGCACAGAACCAGCCTCATCCACGAAAACACGAAAAACACATGTGACTAGGTGCTGAGACTGATGCTTTTGATCACCAGCCCTGACCACACTGAAGAGCCCTTTTAAGAACCAAGGTCCAGTCTCATACAATCCCGAGAGTTCAGACAAAAAGGCCAAAATTCCATAGCTCTGCCGGACTTATTTGCAAGGGGTGCTGTGTAGAAGGTGCCGAAATGGCTAGTAGCTAGGTTTAAGCAATTACAGTCACTAGTTGGTTCAAAGGGATGCCATTCACTCCTGGAATCCTGCTGTCAATGATTGAGCTAGGGAGTTTGGTCTCCAGGGAAGAGTTAAACATTAGACAGGAACCATTACAAAACTTTCCACTAAAAATAAGTTCCTTGTAAGAGAAGTTGAGAGACTTGCTAATTGCAGCTTACTCTAAACCTAATGACAGTCTGTATCATTTGCAAAGAAAGCACAGGATGTGTGAATGATGGTGAGGGAAGTGGGGAGTCTTGGCAGATAGATCTGACTCTGATAGATGCAGTTGGTCCTCTAGACTAGTGATCCATTTTGGAGTAAACTGCATTGGGAGACTGATCAAATTTCCTTTCTCCAGGATTCTTACCAACAGTAAAGACTGATAAAACACATTTGTGCTGCTGTGTTTTTCAAAAGCTCGGCCATATAATAACTTTAACAGACTCCCTAAATTTCAAACATTTCCTTGATGTAGGATGATCACAATAGAAAGGAATGTTATTCTCATCCAGCCATCGGTAAGCTTTTGTCTTCCTTAATCCCAGAAACTAAATCACTGGCTACCTCAGAGGCTCTGACCTAAATCTTAATTGATGCCCACTGCACTTTCAGACCACTGTGTGTGATTTTAACCAGACAAACCAAGGAGGAAGGATTAATGAAGAAAGCCTAATATTTTGACCAATCATAGAGTCCACTGCAGTGCCCTTTCCATTTTAATTGAGCTTTATACGGTTCTCCTCTCGAGGTAACCCTCCTTTCTTAATGTTCAGTACAGCAAAAACTAATCTAGGTTTTCTTTTTAATGTTTGATTTATCTCTTCAATCTTGGTGCTAGGTAACAACATTGGATCAAAATATTAACAGCCAAGATTTAGATATTATTTTACAATTAACACAGCACATTGACTCATATTATTTCACTTTCACAGTGGTCCTGGGGCATGTTTATTGTATCTCCCACTCTACAGATAGTGAAACTGAGGAGATCACGGTGGGAAAGATGACGTAACTCACATGAAGTTGGGCAACTGATCAGATGACACAGCTAGGACTGAAGCCTGGGTCCCCTAAGTCATTTGCTTAGAGCTCATTCAATGACGAGGCAACTCCTTGCTGTGCATCCTTTCAGCACACGTTGTTGGTGTGAAGACGCTGGTTTTCATCAGACTAAAATGCATCTTACTTCAAGATAGGCAGTTTCTGTTTTGGTTTCCACCTCTCATACATTGCTTTTAAAGTGCCAACCTCTAATGGCTATCCCATGAGAAAATCTACTGTAAGTATGAAGTGACCCTTTGGTACTACCAGTTTTTCATCCTAAATCCCTTTTCTTTCTTCTTTCTTTTCCTTTCTCTCTTTCTTTCTTTTTTCTTTCTTTCTTCCTTTCTTTTTCTTTTTTCTTTCTTCTTTTATTTCTCTCTCTCTCTGTCTTGCTCCCCCTTTCTTTCTTTCTTCATTTCTTTCTTTCTTTCTCTCTGTCTTTCTCCTTTCTTTCTTTCTCTTTCTTTCTTTCTTTCCTTCCTTCCTTCCTTCCTTCCTTCTTTCTCAGACTCTCACTCTGTCACCCACGCACAATCTCGGCTCACTGCAACCTCTGCCTCCCAGGTTCAAGTGATTCTCCTGCTTCAGCCTGCTGAGTAGCTGGGGTTACAGGCACATGCCACCACACCCGGTTACTTTTTGTAGTTTTAATAGAGACTGGGTTTCACCTTGTTGGTCAGGCTGGTCTCAAACTCCTGACCTCATGATCTGCCCACCTTGGCCTCCCAAAGTGCTGGGATTACAGGTGTGAGCCACCACGCCCAGCCTCTTTCTTTTTTTGACTGTGTCTCTTGCTCTGTCACTCAGGCTGGAGTGCAGTAGCACAATCTCGGCTCACGGCAACCTCTGCCTCCTGGGCTCAAGTGATTCTCCAGCCTCAGCCCCCCGAGTAGTTGGGTCTACAGATGCATGCCATCACATCCACCTAATTTTTGTATTTTTAGTAGAGACAGGGTTTCACCATGTTGGCCAGGCTAGTCTTGAATTCCTGAGCTCAAAGTGATCCGCCCACCTCGGCCTCCCAAAGTGCTGGGATTACAGGCGTGAGCCACTGCGCCCGGCCCCATTTTATTTTCTTTCTTCTTTTTCTTGGCATTTGTTATGATCAAGCCTTTTTTTTAAGTACTGAATATCCATGGACTCCTTCCAGTTTTACCTCATCAAAATGTGCTTGCAGGGAAGGATTTGGTCTTGTTGATTTCAATTAATGTAACTCCAAGCCACCACTCTTCTGCTATTCACCTTTTAATCTATATTTCTTACTATACATAAGAAGCTTTGCTTCTCTACTTATTTCAAGGAGTGTAGGGTGAAGATGAGGTTTTTAAATCACGGTATCTTTCTTCAGTCCTTTCCTCCAAATTCTACACGTAGATGTACTGTGCTTCAGCCAACTTATCTCTAACTAGGACATTCAGATCTACTAACTAAGCTATGACTTATTATAGGCAGGCGGTCAGCAGGAAGAGCTGTTTTTTTTTGAAAGTAGGACAAGAATAGGTCTATGGAATGTTGGGGTCACTTGGTTTCCTCAATGGAAAGAAACGGGATGTTTCTGCATTAACTAGAACACTTGAAAGGTAGGGAGGGGTGAGGGTGATTGAGAAATGATTTCAACAAACAGAACATTAAGTACTCTGTTTGTCAGACAGCGTGTTCCCATCTGGGGGGTGAGTGGCAGAAAACATAGTCGCCATCATGAGAAGAGCTCCCCTAAATCTGCCCACCCACCTCCAACTCTTGCTCCAGTCAGTTTTTCTGAATGCCCAGCCTGCTACACTGACCCTCACCGCTCTTACCCCGGTGCCAGGGTGAGAGAGGCCAGGGATCAGGTAAGGAAAGAGGAGAGGAAATGCAGAGGCTCCATTTGGCTTATAAAGGAACTGTACCATAATAGTTATTATTGTTTAAAAAAATAGCATGACATCCATTCTATTTCTCTCCCTCTTCTTCAAAGATATTTCAGCCTCAGGGACTTTCTGCTTGTTAGTGGGATGGCGAAAAATGCATGATAGATTTCTAGTTAGTAGGTAGAAGGGACGGGAGATTACATCCTAATACAGTAGAGTAACTATGTTTTATTGAGCACTTAATATGTACTGAGTGAACACACCTGCTTTGATTCACAACCACTTAATGAGGGAACTTTGGAGCCTCCTTAAGGGTTACAAGCAAAAGCTGTGGAGTCAGCTTGCCTGGGTTCAAATCCTAGTTGTGCCATGTACCTGCTGTGTGGCCTTGGTATAGTTACTTAACCTCTCCATGAATCAGCTTCCTCACCTTAAAATGGAGATAATTATAATGTCACACACCTTTGGGGGGAATTCCCAAGGCCACCCCCAGGTTCAATGACTCATTAGGAGGACCCACAGGATTCATCATAGAGACATGCCCACAGCTAAGTTCTATTACCTCAAAGACAAATCAGAATCAGCAAAGGGGAAAGCAACAGAAGAAACCAGACATGAGCTACCAAGAGTCCTCTCCTAGGGGAGTCACACAGGACATACTTAACTCCTCCAGCAACGAGTTATGACAGGTATGAAATGTTGTCTACTAGGGAAGCTCAGTAGATACTTAGTGCCAGAGTTTTGATTTGGAGCTGGTCACTTAGACACCCTCTGTCTGGCATGTACACAAATTCCAGACTCCCAGAAGGAAAGCAGGTGTTCAGCATAAACCATGTTGTTTGCACACACAGTTAAGTCACAGTGAGCCACTCATATCACGGACCAGCAGGAACCCCTCACATGTTCCCAGATGCCAGCCAAGGGCCAGCCTTGCAAGCAGGATTGAGACAGCAGTCTCAGACCTGCTATGTGAACTCTTTACTGCTTGCTACCTTTTGATTGTTGTGAGATTACATAAGGTAATATATATATCTGTTGCTTACAACAGTGCCTAATTTGTGGGAAGCCCTACAGATTTTTTTAGCCCTTACTATTATGCAGAAAAAAAAATACTCAGGTTTAGAATGACTACACAGTCAAAATGGAACAAACTGGAATCTGAATTCACATATCCCCAAAAAAGGTTCATGCATCTATTCACATCACCCTAACATGAGCAAAGTAGCATCCTTCTTCAAACCGTAACTGGGGATGTTGTTGGTGGGTCCCTCCCTTTTCAGGTTCAGAGAAGATGGAGCCTTTCATTCCAGTTGTGTTCTGAAGACAGAGCTTCTTGGAGCTATAAGCACCATTAGGTTGCTTCTTTCTCAGGTTAAACCACTCAGAGTGCATTTATGGTCTGGTACTTAATGCCCCACATGAGCATATTTCAGACTTCCCCCCCATTCCATGAGGCTTGCTTTGTTGATGTCCTTCATTTTTCAGGATACGTATCCACAAATCCATAAGAATTTTCTTCCATAAGATCTAGATAGTGAATCATCTCGCCGTAATTGAAATCATCCCATTGTAAACCATTTTTAGGCTTAAAAAAAATCTGACAAAGAAATTTCTCCCACCTACTTCTCCCAATGCAAAGTAGTTAATCAATCTCTTTAATCATGGGATTACCTCTATCTTATCTTTCACCAGGTTTTCTGGTCTTTGGTTATGTCAGTGGGCAGGGCAGCAGAGTGTCCAATAGCTAGCTGTGAATGCTAAGCAACTGTAGTAGATGCCAAATCAGTTGCACCACCAAAGTCTATGCATTGAAATGAAGTCATTGACTGCAACCAATTTAGATATCTTTTAGTATTTTTTTTTTCAAAGACGGATTTCAAAATGGGAACAGGGCTAGAAGAATCCTTTCAATTTTAAGTTAAAAATTATGCATCATCAATGCAGATTGCCATATGGTTGTAGAGTAAGATGAAACAGAGTCTTAGAGCAATAGTTTATTTCAGCATTAGCATTGTTAGTTGTTAGACATCTGTCCCTTCCAATAAATGAAGATTTTGTAAACTTCTTAGTCATTTCTGTCCCCATAGATCCAAGAATAGAATTCACACATGGTGACTGTTTATTAAAGGTCTGCTCCATTAACACTCAAATGCTAATGCACTTCCACTTAATAAAAGAGCTTCATCTTTGGGTCTGGCAGCTCATGACATATCCCAAGTGAGTAGGTGACTATTTCCTGGATGACTATAGTCAACGCAGTGCCAGATTTTGACACCTACACAAATATCTCCCTTTGGTGAGAAAAGCAAGCAAGAGTTATAGTGAAAGAATAGTGTGACTGCAGTTAATACCATAATTTGAAGAACAAATAATGGCATCTATAAAAAAATAAGATGTGAAGCTCATAGAATATAAGAATCAAAGTGCTCATGGTAGCCCTGGTTGCTACTAGCTGAGTCTACACATGCTAATAAATGGCAGAAGACATGAAAAGGCAAAGCAAGAGGCAGAACACACAGAAGAGAGAGAAAGAGAGGGATGAAAATGGAATTATGTCAGTGTACTCATAAGTTTGGACTGCTAGAACCGAGTACTATAGACTAGGCGGCTTGTAAACATCATATGTTTATTTCTTACAGTTCTGGAGACTAACATTCTGAAATAGGGTGCCTGTTGAGGCCCTCCTCTGGGTTGCAGATTGCTGCCTTCTCATTGTATTCTCACATGGCAGCAAAAGAGGTAGAGAGCTCTCTGGGATCTCTTTCATAACGGCACTACATCCATTCAGGAGGATTCACCCTCATGATGTAATCACCTCTCAAAGCCCTCCCCTCCTATCACCATCACATTGCGGGTTGGGACTTCAACATATAAATTTGGGGGTGATACAAGCATTCAGTTCATTGCAAGCAGCACAGCACAATTCATGAAGACTTTTTTCTTCTATGCAATCTCCCAAATATTCCTTGAATATCTGTACCTCTGCCTTTGCTCAGACTAATTTCTTCTTTTTCTCCATATGCCAGGCTCAGCTCACATACCACCTACTTCTTGAACACCCCAGCCCATCTCAGCCCCCAATGCTTTCTCCCTCCTACAAACTCCTAGAGCTTCCATTGTGATGCTGAATGTTGTTCTTTAGGGTCGCAATTAGATTGTATAGGTGTTCTTCTTGTACTCCTAAGTTTCTTAAATAAAAATGACATGGTTTTTGTTCTCTCATCAGCTATAAGCATTTCCTAACCATCTGCTGTGAATAGGGATGATATAGTTTAGGTTTTTGTCCCCACCCAAAAATCTCATGTTGAATTGTAATCTCCAGTGCTGAAGGTGGGGCCTGGTAGGAGGTGTTTGGATCATGGTGGTGCATCCCTCATGGCTTGGTGCTGTATTTGTGATAGTGAGGTCTTGTGAGATCTGGTTGTGTAAAAGTGTATGGTACCTCCCCCCTGCCCCTTGACACTCTGTCTGTCTCTCTTGCTCCTGCTTTCACCATGTGACGTACCTGCTCCTACTCTACCTTCCGCCATGATTGTAAGCCTCCTGAGACCTCCCCAGAAGCAGAAGCCTCTGAGCTTTCTGTAAAGCCTGCAGAACCGTGAGCCAATTTAACCCAGTCTCGGGCATTTCCTTATAGCAGTGCAAGAATGCCCTAATACAGAAGATAAAGAGGATATGATCTAGAGTTTGGCTGGACTTTAACCAGAGCCCCCATCCCTACAACTCTGACCCCCTGACACTGCTGTCTGAGCACACAGCTGTCCTTTAGCACCTTTAGCCTTGTTTTCTTATTTCCAGAACAAGCTGCATATTTCTGGAGACCATTCCTCCACTATTTCACTTTTTGAATAAAGCTTAAGTGCACCAAAAGTAAATGGCAATAAGAAAAATGTACCATACATGCCTCACACACATGTACGCTCACAGTCATACACACAAACAAGCTGATACATTAGTTTTACTTTGGCTCACCTCTAGAATCTGGGTGGACAGTCTGCTCTATGCCTTTTCTGTTCTTTCTCTTCCATTGTCCGCAGAATATGAGGACCAAAGTGCTCATTGTTGTTTCTTGAATTCTGCATGTAGGCAAGGAGTGGTAGCCTTCCCTGATGTATTAGTCAGTTCTCACACTGCTATAAAGAAATACCTGAGACTGGGTAATTTATAAAGAAAAGAGGTTTAATTGGCCCACGGTTCTGCAGGCTATACAGGAAGCATGATGCTGGCAGCTGCTCAGCTTCTGGGGAGGCCTCAGGAAACTTTCAATCATAGCAGAAGGTGAAAGGGGAGAAAGCTCATCTTCCATGACTGGAGCAGGAGGAAGAGAGAGAGCAGGGAGGTGCTCTCTCACCAACCAGATCTCATGAGAACTCACTCACTATCAGGAGAACAGCAACCAGGGAAAAATCTGCCCCCATGATACAATCACCTCCCACCAGGCCCCACCTGCAACATTGGGAATTACATTTTGACATGAGATTTGGGTGGGGACACAGAGGAAACCATGTCACCTGGCTAAGTGGTGACCACACAGTTCTCACCTGTGTGTGGGTTATTCACTTTCTGCTCTTCCCTAAGACTCTCCTTAAATTCCTGGCAGACTCTTGCTCATGCTCTCCTTTGGGAGTTCTTCTTCTGCTCTACAATGCTTTCTGCATTTGAACCCTTTCCTCATATGTCACACCCTCTTCACCCTAATGGGGGTTTATTTTGCTTGATCACTCTTTAATCCATCTGTACTTTCCCTTTTGAGTGGCACCCAAGACTGAGCCTCGTTCCAATAGCAGTGCCCTGGAACCACAGATTTGGGAGCTGAATAGGACTGTCATCTCTTTGCTGTGTCACACACTAGTGATGGAAGCCTGCAGAATTCTCCCACAGATGGACAGTTTAGTTATGAATCCCACACCAACTTCTGCTCATCAAACATCCTCCTTTCATGATATAGGCAGAAATTTCAGAAGATTATTTGATAATGCCTTGTTTTATTTTTTTGACACAACTGTCAACCACGCCACTTCAAGATGTGGTTTGTCCCTCATGGCATGAAACAGGTCTCAAACGACTTGCTATCTGGCAACAAAATGGTACACCAACACATTAAACTCCTTCAACAGGAGAACATCTTCATGACAAAGACAGTGGTTCGCAGGTTGGACACCAATCTTATAGGATGGGTTTCCTTGGAGTTCAGGGTTAACAACATGTGGCAACTTGTTTGGGATATTATGAAAGAGAAAAGTATTCTATTCTGCCTTAACCATGGCGGAAGCAGCCCTTGAGGAGCTGCTGTCATGACTTCCAGTCATCCTTCTAAAGGAAGATGTCTAGAAGAATGTGGGGCAAAAGTGAAGTTTGTACAGAGAATGAGAGGAACTTACAGATAACTTTGAACTGGCATATCTGTAGTTATCTCTATTAATGTGAATTTACAAAAAGTTAACTAGTGAAATAGGGACAGATAGGCATTTGTTCTCTGAAGCCATTTGGGTATGTCTTCATAATCCCAGGACATTGGGCAGAGGCTTCCTCTATCCTCTTACTCAGAGAAATCCAAATATGGCAAATGATCCCTGTAGCTTCCTGGGCAAAGGCCCATTTGCTTCTGATTCTTTCAAGGGTAAACAGGAAGGCTTTATAGAAAGCTTCAGCTTGTTTCTCCAAGAGTTTCCTAACACAGAGATAAATACATACCTTCCCCTGACATCTCTCCACCCTGCCCACGTGAAACCCTTGCTGGCTCTCTGTCTCTGTAACCCCTCTAGCCTTTCCTTTCTGGGGGACTTGCCAGCTTGCTACTCCACCTGGAGAACAGAACAGGATGGAGTAGAACAGGAATTTTCAATTCTCTCCTTTATATACAGAAGCTCTCTCAAGTCTCTCTAAGCTTTTCAGACTTAACGTGTCTCCTACAAAATATTTGTTCCTGACTCACCACTAAGAAGATGAACTTTAAGAATTGCACAGTTTGCCTCTCCCCCATGATAATATGCATAGCTAAGCCACAGCAAGGCTACCTTTCTCATTCTTGCTGCCTGCCGATGGTGTGATCTTAGCCCCTCTCTCAGTATTTGAATTTCCTCGGTCTTTATGAATGGTAAGAGTTGTTTAAGTCTCTCCTTGCAACACTCCGCCACCCACCATTCATCCCATAATCTTTCACATGGAAGACTGCATGTATTTTGTAAAACCAGGGGGAAAAGTCCTGATTCTAAATCAAGAGGCAATTATTAAGAGTGGCACGCAGGTCATTTTTCTTCCTTCCTCCAACCACCCTGTCAACCACCACCCGCCATGTTCACAAAAGCCTCCAAGGCTACCTACAAGAAAATACCCAGCTTTCCTCTAGGGTGACTTGACTCTTCAAACTGCTTCTCAGTGGAAAACTTTTTAAACGCTCCGTTTTATTTATTCTCTAACAGTTTTCCTGTTAACTAGGTTTGGAGGTGTTTTCTGAAACATGAATGCCATTAATCCAACACCAAAAAGATTCCAGAACTTTCCAGGGCACACATGGCCAAGCCTTCCAGACCAGTTTGCACTGGAGGAGCGTTCTGCACTGGCAGGCGTTTCTGCAGCTTCTGACATCAGGGAAAAGGTGTTATTCCTACAGTGCTGCTGACGTTATGTAACAGCAGAGCCATTGCTTTTTTTTTTTTTTTTTTTTTTTTTTTGACGGAGTCTTGCTCTGTCGCCAGGCTGGGAGTGCAGTGGCGTGATCTCAGCTCACTGCAACCTCCGCCTTCCGGATTCAAGCGATTCCCCTGCCTCAGCCTCCCGAGTAGCTGGGACTACAGGCATGCAGCACGCACGCCCGGCTAATTTTTTGTATTTTAGTAGAGACGGGGTTTCACCATGTTGGCCAGGATGATCTCGATCTCCTGACCTCGTGATCCGCCCGCCTTGGCCTCCCAAAGTGCTGAGATTACAGGCGTGAGCCACCATGCGGCCCCATAGCTTCTTTAGTTGAATGGCTGCCTCTGGAGGCGGGACCCACAGGGACTGCCTGGGTGGAAGAAAGGCAGGGAAGGCTGCTTTCACTCATCACCGCAGACTCACTGCCATTCAGCTAGGCCGATCTTGTAGAACTGACGTAGAAAAGATTACTTCTCCATAAGTATAGGTTCTGGTCAGAACCAAACTCTCTTTCCAAGGACTGCTTCCTGCCTGTTTGTGCACACATCTTGTTTTCTTAGGGTCATTGGGACTGAATACTAATTAATCGAGGTCTGCATGATCAGCACCGAAGCAAGCGCCTGAAAAGAGAGTGAATCTTTTTTAAAAGTTACTTTATTATTTGTATTTATTTTCTGGGTGTTGTTTCTGATTCCAAGTAGTTACATAAAAGTTGCAAAGCCAGTTAAACACCCTCTGAATGTTCCTGCAGAACTTGGACTGGGCGCTCCCTATTTAGAGGTTAATAATGGTCAGTGGCTTTCTCTTCCTTTCTAACTTTATTTGGGGTGTGCCTAGCCTTGAGATCTGGGTTGTGGCCATGAATAGGTCTCTGTAGTCCAAGAAACATTTCTCAGACTACGGAAGATGTGTGGAAAGACAGTGCCAAGCTGCCTGCCGCTGTGGCAGCACCAACGGAGAAGAAAAACAAGCCAAAGGATGCGGGTGTGATCAGGGCCTGCGCAGGGGTTGGAGTGGTCATTTGGGGCTTCCAGAGGGATAATGACAAGTTTATCCACAGGAGTAAAGGGTTAGAGCAGCCAGAAGACGCTTGTGTAATGTCCCAGCAAATCAATTTAAAGACTTAAATATGACAACATGCTAAAGAAAGCCTGGAAGGAATTGGTGGGTGAAAAGGAAATCTGCCGGCCTTCAAAAGTGAAAAACGAAGCAAAATGGAGCTCCAAAAAATGGTGGCTCAACGAGACCCCAGTGGGCTTGGCTAGAGGCTCCGGAACAGAAGGCCTCAGTCACCTCATTGTATTCAGCACAGTCTCTAAAGCTGAGAGCAGGAAATCCTGTTGCCCCACCCATGTCCTCAGCTGAGGTCCCATGAGACAATATTCCTTAGATACCAGCAGAAACTTTTCTTACATGCGAAGGGGTGTAATTCACAATATTCTTTAGAAAGATGGTTGAAAGGTCACGTCATTCAGGCCATAAAACATTTATCCACACATTTATTCATCAATAATTTACTGAGTGCTATACCAGGGGGAGGGGAAAGGGTGGGGGGGGTGGGTTATGATGATGCCAACGATTAAAGAGACCAGTCAAGACACTCAAGTGAGCCTGTGGTCTAAAATGATGCTACTGAAGGTGGCAGATGCCCACCTGGGAGTATCTTAGGAATGCAAATTCCAGCCCCGCCCAGCCTTACTGAAACAGAAACCCTGGGGGTGGTGCCCAGCCATCTGTGTTTTAACAAGCTTTCCTGATGCACGGAAAATTTAAGATGTATGGGAACATGGTGTCTCAAACAATGATGTGTCCTGGCCATTTGCGAGATGTGTGGAAAGTAATATATTATTAATGATAGTTAGCATACCGACATTTGTGAATAATTTATATGTATGTCACCTGCAAAGATTTTGTAAAAATACAGATCCCTGGCTCCACCCAATTCCAACGGAGTAGAAATATCCAGGTGTGGCAGGCAGTATTTAGTTTTAAGACTTCCCAGGTGACTCTTAGGATCCGTCAGGTGTGGGAACCAGTGGTCTATAAGAGCCATTTGCCCCATAACAAAGAGAAAAAATCATGGAATTCTAGAGGGTGGTCCCTCGGAGAGCAGGTTTCCCCACTCCCCTAACAAATGTTAGGCAGATCTCAATTGAAACACATACAAGAGAAACTCCAACTGCAGCAGAAATGGAGTGGAGGTTGCTTCATACTTTCCTTTCTGCAGTGGCTGTTGCAGCTCTTAGTAAAAATCTAGAGCTCTCGGCCGGGCATGGTGGCTCACGCCTGCAATCCCAGGACTTTGGGAGGCCAAGGTGGGCAGATCACGAGGTCAGGAGATCGAGACCATCCTGGCTAACACGGTGAAACCCCGTCTCTACTAAAAAATACAAAAAATTAGCCGGGCGTGGTGGCGGGTGCCTGTAGTCCCAGCTACTGGGGAGGCTGAGGCAGGAGAATGGTGTGAACACAGGAGGCGGAGCTTGCAGTGAGCGGAGATCGCGCCACTGCCCTCCAGCCTGGGCGACAGAGCGAGACTCTGTCTCAAAAAAATAATTAAAAAAAAAAACCTAAAGCTCTCAAAAATATGGTTTGAAAAGCATGGATGTTTCTATCACCACCTCCTCCTCCTGCCACATACGCCCCATTCATTGATGAAGAAACCAAGGCTCAGAAAAGTAAAATGACCTGAAAACATGTGACTGACCATTCAGGTCTGCCCAAGACTAAAGGCATCCCAGAAATTAGAGCGTTCAGTTTTAAAACAGGGACAGTCCCAGACCAACCAGGATGAATTCGTCACCCTAGGTCGGAGACTTCACGACACCCACAGTTCTTGCGTTTTGGCTGATTTATTATTGTTGTTGTTGTTGCTATTATACCATATTACTGCAAGAAGAATTCAAATTACTATTGGTTTTTAATTTTTTTTTAAATTTTTCTAGCCCCTTGAGAAGTTCTTACTAAATTACTATGGTTTCCTTTTAAAAACCATATTTGTTTTTATTCCCTCATTCCAGAAGGATTTAAGGGAGTAATACCCTTATTTTATGTGTTTTGAAATACTTGTAAGTATTCTAAAATACTCTGGACTATTCCTGTGTCCATGTCTCCTCTATCTGACTTCAGACCCACCATACCATATGCATTTTCTCTTTGGCTTCCATATATTTGTGTGATGTTTGCTATGGCACCTACTGTGCCCTACTGAGATCTGTGTATTAGTCAGAACTCTTTAGCTTGCCAGTAAAAGAAAACAAAAGGATGGAGTATGTCAGCTTGGGTAGCAGAAAAGAGCTTCAGGCACAAGTGGATACAGGGGCTCCACCTCATCAGGACATGGTCCCTCTTTGAACCCATAGCAAGATGGTCACATGCAGCTCCACACACCCGCATCCTCCCAGCAACCCAGCTGACGGCATCTTGTCCCCAGTAGCTTTTGTAAAAGTCCCTAGGATGAACTCTGTTTGGGCTGACTTGTGCTATGACCCTTCCCTAAACCAGTTGCAGCCCCCAGGACAATGGAATACTCTGATTGTCCAGACTGTGGCCATGCACCCACCCCTGGCACCAGGGTCTAAGAAGAGAGAAATGCAAGTCTCCCAAAAGAAAGTCAAAAGATGGTTCCTAGAAGCAGAGGAGGAACAGATGCTGGGTAGGTGAAAACAGCAAATGTCCATGGTAGTCTTAAACAGTTCAAGAGGGCTGACCAACTGATTGGCTGATGCACGGGCAACAGCATGCAGCTCCATGTCTTCCTCTATCCCCACTCTGCTGAGATCTAGGTACTATTTTCCCCTGAAACACTAGGTTGCAAGACTCCAAGGTCACCATTGTCAGTTCTAATTTTGAAGACACGCACCACATTTAGCTGAAGCTAGCAGCAGCCCCAGAACCCATGGGACTCCATCCGAAAAATGATAAGCCCTTTGCTGGGCTCCCAAATATGGAGCTCCTGAGAGTGAGGAGCTGGTGACTCATGTTCTCTGTGCTTTGGTTGCCCCCACGTTTTCCAGCTGGGTTGGTGACGTGGGACTCAGTACTTTCTTCAATGCGTCCTGTACACAAAGAATAAATAGCCCCAGAGCTCTTTCTTTTTCTTCCTGCCTTTCTTCCTGTAATTCATTCTCAGCCCAACTCAGCTTTGTTCAAACCACAGTATTTCACATTGCCTGGCAAGTTCTGACACAGCTGCTTGCTTTATTCTTTCAGTCTTCTGTTAAGCCAGAGGTAAAGTTATACCTTGTGGCTAATTTTTAGTCTGTAAACCTTATCCCTTGTTCAAGCCGAAATCTTAGATTAATCAGCATGAAAATGCCAGCTCCCCCAAGACCGTTGAATTATGGCCCCCATCACTCTTCCTGCCCTGACATTCATTTGAGTCCCTTTCAACTTTTACAAGTTGTTTTCTCTTATCCATGAGCAAGGTGGTGGCTTGGGCCTTTTTAGGCAATTTTCTTTTCTTCTTAATCACCTGCCCCTATTCCATCCAATCTATTTCAATTTCTATATAATCATGTAATACATCTCTAATTTGAGTCACCAGGTTTTCCACGTTAAAGGTGGGCTTTAGGAATGTTTATTTTACAAACTAATAGAACTTCCAGTCCTATGGACTCTAACTAGTAGTGGGGCCACTGTGTCAGCTTCCCAGAGCTGCTGTTACAAAGTACCATAAACTGGGTGGCTTCAGATGACAGAAATAGATTTTCTTACAGTTCTGGAGGCCAGCAGTCTGAAATCAAGGTGCTGGCAGGGCCACGCTCTTTCTGAACCTTCAAGGGGAGGATCCTTCCTTGCCTCTTTCAGCTTCCAGCAGCCCCGGGCATTCCTGGGCTTGTGGCAGCATCTCTCACACCTGTGCCTCCATCTTCACAGGGCCGCCTTCTCCCTCTGCGTCTCTTTCACACAGAGTTCTCTTCCCCTTTTACAAAAACAGCAGTCATATTGTATCAGGGCTCACCTTCATGACCTCATCTTAACTTGATGAAATCTGCAAAGATCTTATTTCCAAATAAAGTCACATTCGCAGGTGCAAGGAGATAGGACTCCCACATACCCTTTCATGGGGAAGGAAGACACAATTCAACCCCTAGCAGCCAGGAAAGAGAAAAACAGGGACAGAAAAATAACTCTTTGATCTTGGTCAACCAAAAAGGGGATCCTGATGTTCTCAGAGGATGTTCACCCAGAAAGAGCCTGGGACCCCGACAGGAACATCTGGAGATGGAGGCGAAAGCCTAGCAGCAAAGGTGATCGCTCAAGAGGGCAGGAGAATCCACTGGAGGGCAAAAGCCAAGGACACATTTGTGCTTGAAGAGCCTACTGTGTGCCACATGTGCTTTTATCCCATTGAATCCTCAAATAACTCTGCCAAAGAGTTGCTATTATTCTTTTTTAATACATGGAGAAACTGAGGCTCTGATTAAATAATGAGACCCAGATTATAAGTAGAAAAGCGAGATCATGATTGCTATTACCGCTGTCACTTCTGTTTTTAATAGGCATTGGATCTCTTGTGCTACTATACACCAAGGATGTTACCTGTATTAACTGAGATCTTCACAGCTCACAAAGCTAGATATTGATGGCCTTATAGAGATGAAGAAACAGAAGCTCAAAGAGTTTCAATCACTTGCCTGAAGTCACACAAGTATTACATAATTCAGCCAAAATTTAAACTCTGGTCTTTCTGACTGGCAGGACCATTCCTTACCATGATGCCATGTTGCTGGTGGACATTAGGGTATCTAAACTAGGGTAGTCCTAGCTTCAGAGAAAGAAGCTGTATAAAGAAACCAAATGATTATGCTTGAGGCTTAACCAAAGCAATATAAAAAGTGTATGTTCTCAGGGGAATGGGCAAAACAGAAGAGAAAAAGGCCGGCCACCGAGCGGCTGTGGGTGAATGAGTTAACCAAAGAGCAAATGTCTGAGTTGGATCATGAAACAGCAGATCAAGTGGGCTCAGTGTCTGTAAACATCTACACTGCCCATGAGGACAAGATCTGTATGCTCCATCTACACCCAGAGGCTGAAGGAATGCCTGTGGTGTAGACAACTCACTTTTCTAGAGAAATGGAGAAGGGATTAGACATGTTAACCCTGAAGAAAAGGAAACTTGGGGTAGGGTAGGCTCAGAAAGTCTTCAGAGGTTGGGAACGTGGCCCATGAAAGAGCAGGGAGACTGGAAAGGGACCCTGCCTGTGGAGGCAGCTCTGGGCCCCACTTGAACACACACGGGTGAACCACTTGACCCACCTTACAGTGAAAGAAGCTGGCACCTGTGGACCACTGGAGAAACCTCAGTAGCCATCTGGTGTTCCCCAATGACTGTGTTGCTCACAACCCTCAAGAGTCCTTTGTTGCTTTTGGAATTGTAGGGCTGGCAAGATGTCTTCACCCACTGCTAGATTCATGGCTGAGGCCCCTATAATGAAGGACAGATGAACAAGAGAAGAACATACAAACGCATAGAATATAAGTTTTACATGACACAGAAGCCTTTGAGGGGAAATGAAGAACCAGAGAAACAGGGAAACCTGTGTATTTGCTATGCTCGATTGGATGAAGAGTGGACAGTCATGGAGAGGCATGACCGAGCAAAGCGGGTGATAACCTGGAGGGAATGTCACCACATCTGTTGGCTCAGATTCTCCTCTGTGTCCTTGTGTCTTCAGAAAAAGGATGTTCCTTTCCTCTGAGTATGCGGGCATCACTCACACCAGGGTCCAATGTCCTACTTCAGGGGAAAGTCAGGAAATCCTTCCTGGGACTGATGACCGGCCTCAGAGAGAAGGGTAGAACAAGGGAAGGTGAGAGTGGCCTTTCTGCTTTTGCTGTTTTCTCAAATGCCAATTTTCTATTTTCAGGGGCAATATGTCCTGAACCCCATCAGGATGAAGCCCCAGCTCCATGAAGCCCCTCTTGAACTGGTCCATCCTACTGTTCCAGTCTCAGCTCCCTCTGCTCCAGGCCTTGAACTTCACATTCCAGCCTGGGGACTCCTGGCAGTTCCCTAAATATGCAAAGAGCTCAGCTTTCTTTCCTGGTCCTGGTCCTGGTCACTTGGCCCTCTCTGTCTCTCCCTTCCTTCTTCCCATCTCTCTTCCTTTCTGGCTCATGTCCCTCGCACATGCTGTAAACTCTTCCTGGAACATCTCCCTTCCACCTGTGAATCTCTTGCCAGCTCACTTCTTTTCTCCCTTTAAGAATCCACTTCTCAAAAGAAAATGGCAACTCTGTGAGGTGATAGAAATGCTGATTCGCTTGATCATTGTGGCGTCCACAATGTATATATAAAACAAGTTGTACACATTACCATGTATAAATTTGTGTTTGTCGATTATATGTCAAGAAAGACAAGGAGGTGTGGAAAGACTGCACCTCTGTCAAGACGCCTTTCTGACCACCCCCCGACCCTGGTTGACACTCCCTGACATGAGCCCCCGAGTGTTTACCTACGCTATGTGTATCAGGGCATCCCGACCACTTGCTCACTCACCTGTCTCCCCACTGTGAGGTCAGCGGCAGGGCCTTGTTCAGTGTCTTAGTCATATCCCCTCCAGCACCCACCATGACCTCTGGCACTAAGTAGGGGCTCAATAAGCCAATCATTGTGTTGATGTACCAGTGACATTGAGGGAAGACCAAGCTCGCCGACCTCTAAGATCCTGTCCACTCTGAGAGTCTGTGAGTCTGTATTTCTGCTCCCACAGTTAGTCACGGAGGAAGTTGCCAAAGCAGATGATGAGACTTCTGTTTGGGGTTGCCCAGGTCTGCCTGGCCTTTGCAATTTGTAATCAGGTCCTTTGAAAGAGAAACTGAACTGAGAGAAAAACACAGTTTGGATGAGGCAAGAGTTGCAAAATAATGAGTTATGTAATGGTGATGGTGGCCTGTGGTAGCATCTTTGGCCCTGCCCAGATGATACAAGACTTTGTATGTATACCCTTGAGCATGGCCAAAAGGACAATTGTCAAAACCACGGCTTAAGTGTTCAAAAGCCTCTTTTCCCATAAGATGTTGCCTCTTGAGGTCAGACTGAAATCCTGTACCTGTAATAATTTCCTCCTTAGGACTGGATGTACATGAAAAGATTGGAGATATATATGTACCTTTTTTATATGCCATGTAAATGGTATAACCCTTGCACTCTTTGGCCATTAACAGCCAATTGTCAATTAGTTTATTGTGTATTAGATCAAACTGTATTGCCCAGGCCAGCTCCTGAAGAACTGTGAACTATGAACATCTCAGCCTAGAAGGATAATGTGACCTTCAATTTGCACACCATCCATTGTCTCTTTCAAACTAAGAGCCTCTCTAAGCTAGATAGGCCAAGGATTATTTTTTTAACTTTTATTTTAGGTTCAGGGGTACATATACAGGTTTGTTACATAGGTAACCTCATGTCATGAGGGATTTTGTATAGATTATTTGGTGACCCAGGTACTAAACCTAGTACCCATTAGTTGTTTTTTCTGCTCCTCTCCCTCCTCTCACCCTCCACCCTCAGTTAGTTCCCAGTGTGTGTTGTTTCCCCACATCTATCCATGTGTTCTTATTATTTAGCTCCCACTTATAAGTAAGAACATGCAGTGTTTGGTTTTCTGTTCCCGATTAGTATGCTGAGGATAATGGCTTCCAATTCCATCCATGTTTCTGCAAAGAACATGCTCTCATTCTTTAATATGGCTGCATAGCGTTCCATGGTGTGTATGTACCACATTTTCTTTATCCAGTCTATCATTGATGGCCATTGTGGTTGATTCCATGTCTTGGCTATTGTGAATAGTGCTACAATAAACATAACATGTGCATGTGTCTTTATGATGGAATGATTTCTATTTCTTTGGGTATATACCCAGTAATGGAATTGCTGGGTCAAAGGGTATGTCTGTCTTTAGGCCTTTGAGAAATCACCACGCTGCTTTCCACAATGGTTGAACTAATTTACACTCCCACCAATGGTATATAAGCATTCCCTTTTCTCCACAATCTTGCAAGCATCTGTTATTTTTTTATTTTTTGTTAATAGCCATTCTGACTGGTGTGAGATAGTATCTCATTGTAGTTTTGATGTGCCTTTCTCTAATGATTAGTGGCATTAAGCTTTTTTCATATGCTTGTTGGTCACATGTATGTCTTCTTTTGAAAAGTGTCTTTTTATGTCCTTTGCCAAATTTTTAATGGCGTTGTTTTTTCTTGTAAATTTGTTAAAGTTTCTTATGGGTTCTGGATATTAGACAGATGTAAGATGCATAGTTTGCAAATATTTTCTCCCATTCTGTAGGTCGTCTGTTCCCTATGGTGATAGTTTCTTTTGCTGTGCAGAAGCTCATTAGTTTAATTAGATCCCATTTGTCAATTTTTGCTTTTGTTGAGATTGCTTTTGGCATCTTTGTCATGAAATCTTTGCCAGTTCCTAAGCCCAGAATGGTATTGCCTAGGTTGTCTTTCAGGGTTTTTATAGTTTTGGGTTTTACATTTAACTCTTCAGTCCATCTTGAGTTGATTTTTGTATATAGTATAAGGAAGGGATCCAGTTTCAATCTTCTGTAAATGCCTAGCCAGTTATTCCAGCACCATTATTGAACAGGACTCCTTTCCCTGTTGCTTGTTTTTGTCAACTTTATCAAAGATCAGATGATTGTAGGTGCACAGCTTTATTTCTGAGCTCTCTATTCTGTTCCATTGGCCTGCGTGTCTGTTTTTGTACCATGCTGTTTTGGTTACTGTAGCCCTGTAGTATAGTTTGAAGTTGGGTAGTGTGTTACCTCCCGCTTTGTTCTTTTAACTTAGGATTGCTTTGGCAATTCAGACTCTTTTTTTGGTTCCATACTAATTTTTAAATAGTTTTTTCTAATTCTGTGAAGAATGTCATTGGTAGTTTGATAGGAATAGCATTGAATCTGTAAATTGCTTTGGGCAGTATGTCCATTTTAATGATGTTGATTCTTTCTATCTATGAGTATGGAATATTTTTCTATTTGTTTGTGTCATCTCTGATTTCTTTGAGCAGTGTTTTGTAGTTCTCATTGCAGAGATCTTTCACCTCCGTGGTTAGCTGTTTCCTAGGTATTTTATTCTCTTTGTAGCAGTTGTTAATGGGATTGTGTTCTGCTCTCAGCTTGACTGTTGTTGGTGTATAGGAATGCTCGTAATTTTTGTACATCAATTTTGTATCCTGAAACTTTGATGAAGTTGCTTATCAGCTCAAGGAGTGTTTGGGCAGAGACTATGGGGTTTTCTAGCTATAGGATCATGTCATCTGCAAACAGAGATAGACTTCCTCTCTTCCTATTTGGATGCCCTTTATTTCTTCTCTTGCCTGATTGCCCTGGCCAGAGCTTCCAATACTATGTTGCATAGGAGTGGTGAGAGAGGGCATCCTTGTCTTGCTCCAGTTTTCAAGGGGAATGCTTCCAGCTTTTGCCCATTCAGTGATGTGCTGGCTGTGAGTTTGTCACAGATGGCTCTTATTATTTTGAGGTATGTTTCTTCAGTACCTAGTTTGTTGAGAGTTTTTAACATGAAGGGATGTTGAATTTTATTGAAAGCTTTTTCTTCATCTATTGAGATGATCACGTGGGTCTTGTCTTTAGTTCTATTTGACCCATCACATTTATTGATTTGCACATGTTGAACAAGCCTTGAGTCCCAGGGATAAAGCCTACTTGATTGTGGTTGATTAGCTTTTTGATGGCTGCTGGAAAGGTTTGCTAGTATTTTGCTGAGGGCTTATGCATCAATGTTCATCAAGGATATTGGCCTGAAGTGGTTATTTTTGTTTGTTTGTTTTGTTTTGTTTTTCTTGTTGTGTCTCTGCCAGGTTTTGGTATCAGGATGATGCAGGCTTCATAGAATGAGTTGGGAAGGAGTCCCTCCTCCTCAATTTTTGGGAACAGTTTCAGTACCAGCTCTTCTTTGTACATCTGGTAGAATTTGGTTGTGAATCCATCTGGTCCTTGGCTTTTTTTGGTTTGTAGGAGGCTGGGGATTTTTATCCCAGATTTATAAATAAAGAAATTGAGTCTCAGAGAGAAGTGACTTGCCCAAAGTTGCAGCTCATGAAAATAAAAAGAAGTGGCCAGACATCCGATCTTTGTACCCCAGTGCTCCTCTCCACTTTGTACCCCAGTGCTCCTCTCCACCCTGCACCTCTTGGGCTTGCTCTTCTGGTGGAAACACAAGGACCTGAGGTGAAGCTGGAGAGTGGAGGGGATGGTGGAGAGGGCTGAGGAGAGCAGGCTGGTGAGTTGTGCTTTGGGGCCTCTTAGCCCATGGAGATACATGAAGGATGAGGGGAAGGGGTTGGAGCATAGAAATGGAGTTTGGGGAGCAGGTAACAGGAGAAGCTGGCTGACCTTTCACAACACAAATTTCAGGCCAGTCCTGACTAAGATGCTCTGGGCTGAAGCCAACTGAGCATGAGCTCCCACAGAGAAAAGAGGTTTGCACATCCTCTCCACATGGGTGCCCATGAGCCAGCCCCCTACTAAGCACAAATTCAGGGTTGCTGCCCTAAGCAGCTACTGGCTGAGTGATCAAAGCAAGTCAAGAGCCTTGAAAAGTTGAAAGTGGCTGCTCAACCAGCAGTCAGTCCAGATCCTATCTATAACTCCAGTCCTCCCCAGCCCCCTCCTTCCCCGATGAGAGTCCAGACCAGCCTCAAACAGAAACTATGGAGATGAATCAAAGACAGAGCCAAGACATCTTTGCCTGGGAATTCTAGTGTATCCATCATAATTGGGTTTATTTTACCCAGTAAAGAGAGGGCTTTCCACTCACCTCGGGGGGGGGGGCCTCCGAGCCTTCTTATAACAGTACAACGAAAGTGAACCACAGACATTTGTTCCCTTAATTAACAGCGTTGCTCTTTTGGGTGGGTCTTGAACTGTTAGCACTGGTCTCCCACATTCTTTAGTCAGTTAAGGGCTGCCACCATCATGACATGGAATAGTAGGACTGGGAGAATGTACTGAATCAGTACCTAGTGCAGAACAAAACCCTTCCATGGAACATAAAAGGTACAAATATTACATTCACAGCCATGTTTGTTCATTCAAAGAGCATCTTCTGAAGACTTTCTGTGTGCCAGACACTGTCCCCAGTGCTGGAGAAAATAGACAAGATCCCTGTTATCATGGAGCTTATATGCTAATGGTGGAGACACAAAAAAGCCAAATAAATAAATAAACACGCTAGACCATGTCAGAGAGTGGCAAGTGCCATGAAGAACCTGAAAATGAGACATGGTGTTGTAGGAGATGCCTTAGATAGGGAGGTCCTGGGGGCAGAGTACCTGGAGGTCTGAGATCAGAGCTTTTACGCAAACAGAGCAGGTGCAGAAGTTGTGTTCGAGGAACAACCAGGAGGCCAGTTGGCCTGCAAGGCATGAGCCAGGGAATGGTGGTACAAGATAAACTTGGAAATTGTTTATGCTCTGTCTCTCACACTGACTTGGCCTTCGATCTCAGCTAAAATGCTGCTTTACTTCCTACTGTATTGGTGTTTGCAACCAATGCATGATGTGTCATGTACTTTCTACTCAGAGAAAAGTCCTCTACCAGTGTTGATGAGGGTGAAAAGATCATTCCTACTCCAGGAAGTCTCTTTGGAAACTTGGTGGCGGAAGACAGGAGAGCTAAGAGCAGTTCCCATCTTGTATGATCTAAGGTTCCCCTGGAAGTGAAGCCACGATCCCCTGTAGCTATCACAGCATAGGGATGTGCGGAGATCCTGGCTCCACATATAGTTGGCAGGAGGTGAGTCTCCTTTAAGGTGTTCAAATGTAGCACACACACACACACACTCTCTCTCTCTCACCTGCTGTCTTGCTCGATGCTCCATCTCTTCTATTGCTGTCCTGAGAACCAAGACAGCTCCATGTACAAGTAACTCAAAACCCTGACACTCCCTCACACTGCCCAAAACAAGACACTGTCAAAATAAGTCACAGATGTCACAGTTCCTTGTCACTCAGTTTTCTTGGCTTAGATTTAAAGCATTAAATCAGCTCATCTTCATCTCTCATTCCCTAGCCCCAGCTCTTCCCTGCTGAGTTATCTTTGATATTCCCTTGGGTGGATTTCTTCTCCCTCCTTCTTCTCTAAGAATCTGTAAGTTTATTTTCTCTCTTACTCTCACTCCCCTTCTCATCCTGCCTCACCCCGGTCCCTCTTTCTAAGCCCTCTTCTCCACCGCCCTATTCTAGACAAGATCTTACAAAAATACCTTTCTTCCATAATATCTTCTCTACTTCCACAAGAATTCCCCCAGATTCCTTTCCTTTTTGTTGAAAGGGCTGACTCCTGGCATTTATAATTTTAACCAGCAGAAGGGCTTGAAATGAGAAGTATGAGTACTTCGACTCTTTTCCACACCTGTTCCCAATCTCCACTTTTTTTTGAATACTGACTCTGTAATGGGTGGAGAGTAGGGGAAAAGAAAGAGAGATGGGAAAACAAGAAATGAAAGGGATTTTTAGTAATAAAAGCAAATGAGGAGATAAGGTAAC
The DNA here is from genome assembly GCF_000001405.40 of Homo sapiens. Lineage (NCBI taxonomy): Eukaryota > Metazoa > Chordata > Mammalia > Primates > Hominidae > Homo > Homo sapiens. The sequence continues at coordinate 11,344,762 of NC_000006.12, read as the reverse complement.
TGTGTTCTGAACATCAGGGCTGGAGAGGCTGATGCTCATGATGGACACAGGAGGAGAGGCGCAGTGCTGGCTAACAACCTGGACACAGCACCAAGCAGATTGTAGTCACATGCTAAAGCATGTGCTATGCCATCTAGGTGCAGTAGAGATCAGCCATAGGCTGGAGTTTGCCCCGAAGGAGGTGGCATTGAGGTCACACACTGCAGAGTCATCCACATGACTTTGTAGATTGGAATCTTATTTTATCAACTGCTTACCTGAAATAAACATGCCCCACCTGAAACTTAAATGCAGCTTGATCTTTTCTTTGGAAGAGTGTGATGCTTACGACAGGAATGTGTTGCCATGGGATGCTGCTGATATTTTGTCCACACTCCTATCTTAGCCTTTCGCCACTTTGAAGGTGCCCTCTTTCTCCAGGATAAACATCTTCAACAACGGGGACTTTCCAACAGAGTGGACCAGGTGAATTTTTTTAACTCTCTGGAATTTGATGTTATGTGAGATTTCTAACTGTGGAATTGCGCTCACATTCATGTTAGAATATTATGTCTATCACATATTCTTATCAGCACATTTTTGTAGCCAGAGATGTATGCAACCCAAGTGTCATGAGCCCACTACACCTAAGAGTTTAGACTTACTAATTCACTGAAAACTTAAAAGAGGCCAGGATGTAGTAGATTGCTTGGTGATAGATAGCAGCCTACTCACCCTGTCTCTTGAGAAATAACTTCACTTCTCTCCCCCTTATCCTAATTCTCTAAAACAGTCCTATCTTCCAATGGATAAAGTACAGACAGATATCTGGTTACCTTTATTGTAAACATCTATAGTTCACCCAAGAGCCTAGATGAAGCACCTCACATAGCATGCCAACTGCTGGCCCGTGTATTTAGTCTATGTTTAATACCCTTTTACTTAGGTTTCTTGCCCTGTAAATTGGAATTAGACTAAAATCTGGTGTCTTGAGTTTCACAGCATATTGAGTTTCACAGTATGATTTTAGCCTGTCTACTCATCTTATATCTGATAGCAGTAAAGAAGGTAAATTCATTCATTCATATATTCCTTTATTCATTCATTCATGTAAATTTATTGAGCATGCATTTTGTGCTAGGCACTGTTCTTGGTATGGTCCACAGCTCTGAACATAACAGGCAAAAGTTCTTGCCCAAATGGAAGTTACATTCTAGGAGGTAATATAAAGCAAGACAAAAATATCCAGTGTGTTAGACAGAGATATGTGCTAGGGAGTAGTGGAGTAGTGGGGTGCAGTTTTAAATAGGGTACTCAGGGAAAGCCTCATTGAGAAGGTACTTTTTTTTTTTTTTGAGACAGAGCCACCTTCTGTTGCCCAGGCTAGAGTGCAGTGGCGCCATCTCCACTCACTGCAACCTCTGCCTCCCAGATTCAAGCAATTCTCCTGCCTCAGCCTCCTGAGTAGCTGGGATTACAGGCGCATGACACCACACCCAGCTAATTTTTTGTACTTTTAGTAGAAACGGGGTTTCACCATGTTAGTCAGGCTGGTCTCGAACTCCTGACCTCATGATCCACCCGCCTCAGCCTCCCAAAGTGCTGGGATTACAGACGTGAGCCACGGCACTGGGCCGAAGTTACCTTTTTTAAGGTTTTTTTTTTCAGCCAATGTTACCATGGTGTAATTTATCTTCTGTAAAATTCCCACATTTTAAGTGTACAGATGAGTGGCTTTTGACTAATGTATACATCCACTACCCTAATCAAGCTACAGAAAATTTCCATTTCCTTGAAACGTCCCTCTTTCTTTTTCATATTTAGTCTCCTACTCCCACTCAAGCTACCACAGATACTATTTACATCATTATAGGTTAGTTTTTCCTGTCCTAGAATTTAATATGCAACTATGCATGTTAAGTCTTTTGAATGTGGCTTCCTTTGGTTAGTTGAAGCCATGTTACTGCATTTATCAGTCATTATTTTTTTATTACTGAGTCTATTGTATGAATGTTTTATAATTTGTTTACTCAGTTACTTATTGTTTCTATTACTCTTCATTCTTTGTGTGGTTTCTTCCTGGTACTATTCTCTTTATACTGAAGAACATCCTTTAGCATTGCCTGTAGTTCAGATCTGCTTGTGATGAATCTTCTCAGATTTTGCTTATCTGAAAATGTCTTCATTTCACCTTCAATTTTGAAGACTATTTTTATTCAATTTATATAGAATTCTGTGTGAATAGGATTTTTACATCTCCAAAGATGTTGTTTCATTGTCTTCTAGCCTCTACTGTTTCTGATGAGCACTAGTAATAATTCTTAACTTTGTTCCTCTGTATGTGTCTTTTTCTTTGGCTGCTTTTAACATTCTACTTTATCTTCAGTGTTCAGTCATTTGACTGATGTACTTAGGTGGGGCTTCCTTTATCTTCATCTTACTTGGGCTTCGTGGATTTTTAAGTCATTTTTTAAAATTTTGGGAAGCTCTTGGCCACTATTTCTTCAGATATTTTTTCTGCTCTCTCTCTCTCTCTCCTCCTTCTGGGACACCAAATAGACGTAAGTTAGACTGTCTGATATTGTTCCATAGGTCTTTGACCCTTTGTTCATTTTTTCCTTAATATTTTTTATTTCTGTTCTTCAGATTTGATATTTTCTACTGCTGTGTCTCCAACTTCACTTTTTCTTCTATCATCTCCAACCTGCTGGCAAGCTCTTCCGATGAATGATTCACTTCAGGCATTGCACAATTCTAGAATTTCCATTTGTTTCTTTTTAGGGTTCCCATTTATCTACTAAAAATTCCTCATTTACTCACAACTTAGGGCCATTTGTCTCTAATTAATTAATATATTTTTTGAATATATATTGTAAAACATATATGTTTTAATGTCTTTATTTTCTAAATCCAACATTTGGTCCATCTTAGAATAGTTCCTTTGCTTTCATTTTTTACTATGGATTACACTACCCTTGTATGGTTTTTGTTGGTTTTTATGTCTAGTGATTTATCATTGAATACTGGGCATTGTGAATGTTACATTGTAGAAGCTCTAGCTCAGCACTCTTCAATAGTACCTGCAATGAAGAAAGTGTTCTGTGTCTGCACCATCCAATAGGACAGCTGCTGGCCACATGTGGCTATTGAACACTTCAATGTGACTAGTGTGACTGAGGAACTCAATTTTAATTTTAATCTAAATGTTCGCATATTTACACCCAGAACTTCTCAACCTCTGTTATACTGTTTCAGTCTCAACCTCATAGCAGCTGACATCTGGCAAGCCTCTGATGGTTTTCCCTGCACATATACAGTCAAGCCCTCAGCCGTGGACTGAGGGAGGGGCTTCCCATACGCATGCAAGGACTTCTAGGGCTTTGTCTTTGCACAGATTCCAGCTATTTCAGTTGCCTCAGATTCTGATCCCTGCCTCTTCAGCCCAGCAAGAGTCCTGTGCTCTGCTCAAACTCAAGTCTCCAGGCAGACAGCTGGACTACTGTGGGGCTCACCTCACACTCCCCTCTCCCCATTTTTGCAGTCTGGTGTTGTTTATTTTCCATTGTCTGAAAACTATCTTGCTTCACATACCTTGTCCTGTTTTCTAATTGTTTACAGGAGACGAAATAGTCTGAAACTAGTCATTCCATCACAGTCAGTAGCCTGAGAAGTGTCCCTTCAGGTCATAATCCAAAGAAGATTGTGGGATAACTAACTAGGGGAAGAGAGTTTCAAACAGGGGGACGTCAATGGAAAGGGTGGGAGGCAGAAGCATGCCTGCCTGACTTAGAACGGTAGGGAGGCAACATGGCTGAGCACGAGAGCTAAGGACAGAGAGAGTAGGACAGTAGGTCAGAGAGGCATGGTGGTGGGAAAGACACTGTTTGGCTTCATAGGCCATTATCTGCACTCTAGCTTTTACTCTAGTGAGATGAAAAGTCATTGGAAAGTTTGGGGCCAAGAACTGATTTAGGTTTTAACAGAATCACACTAGCTCTTGGAAACACCTCCAGGACAAAAGCAGGGTGCTGAATTAGAAGGCCATTGAGAGAATCTATTGACTAAACTTGCAAATCTAATTAAAATTCTGAATTATTCAAGGTCGATGGCTGAGTTTTTATTCATTTCCTAGAGTTTGGGGCTCACGAGGAGACAGGTACCTTAGTGTGGAAGATCACATCATCTGAAGTCTGATTGGCTGTGTGACTTTAGGCAAGTGACTTCAACTGTCTTTCTTTATTTCTATACAATGGAAATAATAAGAATACCTATTACATAAAAGATATTATGACGATTAAATGAGATAATTCCTGTCAAATTCTCTAAATTATACCTGGTGCATATAATTCCTGTCAAATTCTCTAAATTATACCTGGTGCATATGAAGTAAGCGTTCTACAAATGTTAACTATTACTATCTGAGAGGCTGAATGTCTGATGATTATTACTGTACCCTGTGGACATTGACATTGATCTACTCTGTGAATAAAGGGTACCACACTCAATTCTGATTCTCAAGAGATATGTGCAACTGGCATAGAAAAAATATCTCAAAAACAAGACTGAAGGAAATTAGAGCCAAGTAGAGGTCCATGCTGTCAGCTCTTGCATAAGGAGGGAAGGCTGAGGCGTTATTCATTCAGGCTGAGGAGATCTTTGAAGACTATTGAGAGGCAATGAGTTAGGGTTTGAAGAATGGATTAGATACAGAGACTGTGGAAAGGGAAGGGAATTCTGAAGGTCACCTGAACTTGCGGCCATCACTAATGTTTAAAGAGCTTCTTAAATTCAAAGTGAAAAATTATGAGTTCAACATGGTTATTATCCCCTTAAGCTCACATTTGGAATCAACCATAAGAAGTAGGATATCATTACCGTACAGCTGAATGGCTTTATTAACTTATTTTTGGAAATTAGATGACAAATGCAAGCACAGTCTTGTTTAACAAGAAGCATTTCCCAGTTGTTTCTATGAGAATTTAAGAAAGGTTCTAGAAATGCAAATAGAGAGAACCCAGTCAAGTCCTGAAATCTCAGTGCAGCAGAATTGAGAAAGTGAATAATGGCCCACAGGTCACAGGAAGGCAATGAATACGCTAATCAAAGGTTGTGATTAATGAATGTTGTCTCACATTTCATCTGGCATAACATGTGTCCAATTGATCATTTTTAGCATAGCTCATCAGAGGAGAAAAACTTGGTGAAATATGATCTGGTGGGGCAGGATGCACCAGTTGCACAACAGACATAAGCTGCTCCACTTTGGCCACACCTGTATAAAACATGAGAAAAGTAGGTTTTCATAGAGGTTGAGGCATATCTAACTACCTCAAGTAGAAAAAGAGTATCCATTTATTTAATGAGGGAGAGAGCAGTGGAAAGGCTCAGCCTCATCCAGGCTGAGAAGTGATTACCTTGGAAATGCTGTTTGTTTTGATTGAGAAAGTCAGCTGAGAATGTATTTTAAATAGGCAGAAAATATATCTATCAAAGAAATACTATGCAGTCATCAAAAAGAATGAGGCATGTTTGGTATTTTAATAGTTATCTCCAATGTTTATAATAAAGTGATAAATGCAATATATAGATAATTATATAGTGTATGACAATTATGAGAAAAATGAAATGTACATCTGCACATACATAAGGTTGCACACACAAAGGATGCCTCTGGGGGAGGGAAATTGGGTAGCTGGGACTGAAAATAAAGATAAACAGGAGACTTATGTTTCAGTCTATATCTTTTGAATTTATTTGTATATGCACCTAGATCCAGATAGTTTTATTTCTCGGTTGAAAAAATTAAAAAAGAATAGGAAAAAAGAAAATAACAACCATAGTTTAATTTTTTTTTTTTTTTTTTGAGACAGAGTCTCGCTCTGTCGCCAGGCTGGAGTACAGTGGCACAATCTCTGCTCACTGCAACTTCTGCCTCCCAGGTTCAAGCAATTCTCCTGCCTCAGCCTCCCAAGTAGCTGGGATTACAGGCACACACCACTACACCCAGCTAATTTTTGTATTTTTAGTAGATATGGGGTTTCACCATGTTGGCCAGGATGGTCTCGATCTCTTGACCTTGTGATCTGCCTGCCTTGGCCTCCCAAAGTGCTGGGATTACAGGTGTGAGCCACTGCGCTCAGCCTAATTTAATTTTTAAAAGAGCTGGAATGCGTCCATTCCTTTCCCATTTGCAAAGGGCTCCAGAATCATCCCAGATGATGGCTTTCAAAATGATAGTTCAATAAGGGAGATTTAGGATAAAGTGCTTCTTTCTGATGCTTCACTTAAGGGTCCCTGAGAGTATTAGTTTGCTAGGGCTGTTGTTAAAAAACAAAAACACAAACTGAGTGACTTAAACAGCAAACATTTATTGTCTCCCAGTTCTGGAGACTAAAAGGCTGAGATCAAGGGTGTCAGGAGGATTGGCTCCTTTCGAGGGCTGCAAGGGAGAACCTGTGGCTCTCTCCTAACTTCTGGTGTTTGCTGGCCGTCTTTGGCATTCCTTGGCTTGTAGAGGCATCACCCTAATCTCTGCTTTCATGTTCATGTGTCACTGTCCTTGTGTGCATGTGTGTTTATGTCCAAATTTTCCACTTTTATAAGGACACCAGTCATTGGATTAGGGGTGTGCTCTAGTGACTTCAGGTTAACCAATGACATCTGCAACAACCCTATTTCCAGATAAGATGACATTCTGAGGCACTGGGGCTTAGGACTTCAGCATAAGAATTTGGAGGGGACAGCACTCAACTCATGACACCAAGGGACACTTACCCAGAGTTAAACTGCTTACTGAGGGGAGGTTTTTGCTATGTGTCTATGAAGCACAGATAGTAACATGCATCTCCTCATGCCCGAGATGTATAAAGTGAATACACGCTGGTATGATTGAAAACCTTAATATTTTTTAACGCACTACCATCCTCTGAGGAAAGAAGAGAGCTTAAACTTGCTTAACTAAGAACAACAGCTTGTTGGAGCGATAAATCCATGAAACAAAACTCAGATCCCCTGCTCTTCCCTCCCCATCCATGCCAGCTAAAGGCATGTGCACACAGCAATGTTTATTAAACACCTACTGATGCCCGATACTGCACTGAGAGCCAGGGACGGAGTTGGACAGAACATCCTCCTGCCCTTCAGGTGGAGAAAAGACACATAAAATAATGCAGGCATGCACTAAGTGACTATGCTTCAGTCAACAACAGACCGTATATAGGACCGTGGTCCCGCAAGACTATGATGAAGCTGAAAATTTCCTATCACCTAGTGGCATTGTAGCCATCCTAACATCACATAATAATGCATTGCTCACATGTTTGTGGTGATGCTGGTGTCAACAAAACTACTGCATTGCCACAACATATAATTGTGTACAGTCTATAATATTTGATGATAGTGAATTACTATTTTACTAGTTTGTTTTTACTATAGTATACTTTTAATCATTATTTTAGAGTGTACAATTTCTCCTTATTTTTAAAAATTAACTTTAAAACAGTCTCAGGCAAGTCCTTCAGGAAGTATTCCAGAAGAAGGCATTGTTTTGTTTTTGTTTTTGTTTTTGAGACAGAATCTCACTCTGTCACCCAGGCTGGAGTGCAGTGGCATGATCTGGGCTCACTGCAACCTCCGCCTCCTGGGTTCAAGAGATTCCTCTGCCTCAGCCTCCTGAGTAGCTGGGACCACAGGCATGCTCCACCACGTCCAGATAATTTTTGTATTTTTAGTAGAGACAGGGTTTCAACTATTGGCCATGCTGGTCTCGTACTCCTGACCTCATGATCCGCCTGCCTCAGCCTCCCAAAGTGCTGAGATTACAGGTGTGAGCCACCGCGCCCAGCCAAGAAGGCATTCTAGGAGATGGCAGGTCCCTGTATGTCATTGCCCCTGAAGATCCTCCAGCAGGGCAAGATGTGGAGGTGGAAGACAGCAATACTGCTGATCCTGACCCCATGTAGGGCTAGGCTAATACGTGTTCTAGTGTCTTTCTTTTTAATTACAAAAGAGTAAAGAAGTTTTAATTTTTCTTAAGTTTATAAAGTAGAAGAAGTTATAGTAAGCTAAGGGTAATTTATTATTGGAGTAAGAAAAATTGTTTGATAAATGTAGTGTAGCCTAAATGTACAGTATTTATAAAGTCTACAGTAGTGTACGGTAATGTCCGAGGCCTTCACATTCACTCACTGACTCACCCAGAGCAATTTCCAGTCCTGCAAGCACCATTCATGGTAGCTGCTCTATACAGATGTGCCACTTTTTACCTTTTATATCCATATTCATACTGAACATTTTCTATGTTTAGGTAGGAAGTATTTACATACACAAATACTTACCATTGTGTTGCCATTGACTACAATATTCAGTACAGTGACATGCTGTCTACTTTTGTAGCCTAGGAGCAATAGGCTAGACCAAATAACCTGGGTAAGTAGTAGGCTCTACCATCTGGGTTTGTGTGAGTACACTCTATGCACTTTGTACAATTACAAAATCATCTAACAATGCATTTCTCAGAACACGTCCCCATCGTCAAGTGGCACATGGCTATAATTATATCACTATAGTATAGTAAATGTAGAGCCATGACCAAGGCAGAAAGAAAACCGTTAACTCCACTTGGCGATGCCAAGGAAGGTGGCCTATGAGAAGTGTCATAAGAGATGACTGTGAAAGGCTGACTCTGAGGGAGGTGAGGGCAGGAGGAGGTGACTAGGGAAAAGGGAGTCCTGGGGCATGTCGTGTCTCAAGCGGGGGAGCCCAGACAGACTCCTGGTTACCAGGAATGGAGACAGGAGTTGGAAGTAAATCTCAAGTGCAGACGAGCTTCTGAAGGAGCTTATCTTCAGCCTGAGGATTTGGGACTTCTTTATCCTCCAGGAAACCCTGGAAGATTTAGAGGAGCCACTTGGTCAGATTTCCTTCTTTGAAATATATTAGATTGGTGCAAAAGGAATTGTGGTTTGGGACTGTGAATTTTAGATCCTTATAACTAGACTCAAACACATCTTTATTAATTCAAATAGGAACAATTACTATCAACACATTTTTGCCAATGAGAAATAAGTTTGTTTATTCCTGTAGCATAAAGGTCTGTGCTTTGGGATTCAATGAACACTTGGAAAGCATTTTCTGCACACTGCTGGTTGTGGAAGCAAAAAGTTGTTGAGATGCTTGAAGAAGTGGTAGTCGGTTGGCGAGAGGTCAGGTGAATATGGTGGGTGAGGCAAAACTTTGTAGCCCAATTCGCTCAACTTTTGAAGCATTGGTTGTATGACGTGCAGTCGGGTGTTGTTGTGGAGAAGAATTTGTCCCTTTTTGTTGACCAATGCCAGCTGCAGCCACTGCAGTTTTCAGTGCATCTCATTGATTTGCTGAGCAGACTTCTCAGATGTAGTGATTTCGCCAGGATTCAGAAAGCTGTAGTGGATCAGACTGGCAGCAGACTACCAAACAGTGACCATGACCATATTTTGGTGCAAGTTTGGCTTTGGAAAGTGCTTTGGAGCTTCTTCTCGGTCCAACCACTCACCTGGTCGTCACTCGTTGTTGTATAAAATCCACTTTTCATTGCATGTCACAATCCGATCAAGAAATGGTTCATTGTTGTTGTGTGGAATAAGAAAAGACAACACCACCAAATGGTGATTTTTTTTTACTTTCAGTCAACTCATGAGGCACCCACTTACCGAGCTTTTTCACCCTTTGAATTTGCTTCAAATGCCAAAGAACAGTAGAACAGTCGATGTTAAGTTCTTCGGCAACTTCTCGTGTAGTTGTAAGAGGATCAGCTTTAATGATTGCTCTCAATTGGTCATTGTCAACTTCCAACAGCTGGCCGCCACACTCCTCATCTTTAAGGCTCTCGTCCTCTTTGCAAAACTTCTTGAACCACCACTGCACTGTACATTTGTTAGTGGTTCCTGGGCCGAATGTGTTGTTGATGTTGCCAGTTGTCTCTGCTGCTTTACAACTCATTTTGAACTTGAATTAAAAAATTGCTTGAATTTGCTTTTTGTTTAACATCATTTCCATAGTCTAAAATAAACATAAAATAAACAGCAAGTAGTAAGTCATTAGCAAAAAAACATAAAGCGAGAAATGCCCATTAAAATGATGTATAACATAACCACATTTATTTAAGAATGTATTCCAATATCAAACAGCAAATTCCAACAATGCAAAAATGCAATTAACGTTTGCTCCAACCTAATATTTTCAGAGAGAATGAATAATGGGGAAAGAAACTGAAGAGAAAGTAACAGGCAAGGAGATATTTGCAGGTGAGAAAAAAATTATGACCAATAGTCTAAACAGTGGTAGCGGTGGCATGAATAGAGAAAACAGGGGCACCCTTATCTTGCCCGATTTGTACAAATTCAGTTAATTCTATTTTAACTTATTTATTTGTGTTATTTTTCAGATGACAAAAGATAATACATACTCACTGTAAAAAATTTTGGATTAAAACATTTAAAATGTATAAGGAATACAACAAAATCGCCCCTTAATTACTCAGAAATAAGCATTCTTATTAATGTTTGTGTATCCTATTAAGTTCTTTTCAAAATCATATCTATGTACATATATAGTCATTTACTCAGACTTTTATAAACAGCTTTTTCCACTTTATATATTTCCCTATTAGTAACTTTATAGAACTTGATTTTTGATTGATGTGCTATATTTATTTAGCTAATCTAGAGGACAGATTTGAAAACTGTTAAGGAATTATAAATTGCAGTAGGAGGTGATTAATTAGCTGATGGGGTATGAGGGAAAGGAAAAAAACTGAGCAACCCCAACTTTTGGGCTAAAGCCCTTCTTTTTACAGCTTTCTTCTTGTTTTGGCCAGAACTGGAGGGTCCATCTTGTGAAAAGGAGGTGGCAGAAGGATCTGTGAATATATGTTACATTCAACCTCAACGATGGTGAACATAAGCACTGTTCAGGGCATGCAGACACAGCCCCAGGTTCACAAGCTGCCAGAACATTCATTAAAGTGGATAAAATGGCCTGCAATGAAATCCTCAAAGGATGTGGTAGATAAAGCAAATGCCCTCCTAAACACAGCTGCAGGCTGCCAAAACCCCCAGCCACACCTGGTGAGCATTCTCAGAGAGGAGCAAGTAGAGACAGCCTTCCCTGCCAGGAGGGAGTCCCTCTCCAGGCTGTGTGGCCCTGGCTGTGGTCTCTGCACCTGCCGCTTGCCTGATGGCTTTCTTGCATTCTGGGAGGGCATGCCTGTCCGAGCACTTCCTCTGCTCAGTCTTTCCATAGCGAGAGGAGGAAGAGCAAGAGGAGTCAATACCTGTGAGGCACAATAAATCCAACTGAGGTGAATAATAAAGCGTATTCATTTCCAAAAACTTAGAAGACAATGTTAGGGCAGATATTGGGAAAGAAACTGACTAATTGACCCAGGCTTTCATTTCAGGCTCAGTTTGGTTTCCATTGCCTAACACAACTCTCCTACGCTCCTGTGCCTCTTCAGAAATGGCTTCTGATTGAAACACAACCTGTGTCTTTTGATTGATTGGGAACTGAAAGATGTTCCTCTTTTAATCTCATGGATGGAACCCAATATATTTCACTTTCTTCTTTGTGCTGATAGACAAAGCCTCGGAAAAAAATGCTATTTAAATAATAGCTTTCACTGACAGTAGACTCATGGGAAAATTGTCCTTCCTTCCTTCCCTCCCTCCCTCCCTCCCTCCCTCCCTTCCTTCCTTCCTTCCTTTTTTCCTTCCTTCCTTTTTCTGAAGTGTATGGACCATTATTGCTTTTACTTTGTCTTATTTGGCTTATGGGAAACCGTGGGACTCCTCATATATCTATGTGCTGAGCTGACATAAGGGGGACTATTAACCGCTTCTATGCAGCATTTATTTTGCTGAAGAGAAAACATGGAGTGTGGCTTTGTTGAAAAGCTCCCCATCATTCACAGTTCACTGAAACTCATCCATTCAATCATCAAGCACAGATCTACCTCTGCTCCACTTGTGCCTGGGATGGTGCTAGATGCTGAGAACGTGCCATTGCCCACATGTTCTCAGCATCTAGCAGAAGAATCAGTTCCAGAGCACACTCACCCAGCTTCTGGAATCTCACAGGTTAGTTGGGAGGTCACTTAAATAGAACACGACGTGTGCTGTAAACAAGTTAAGCACAGAGTGCAAAGGAGCATCTAATTCAAGAGCTGCTTAGGATGGTTTTGTAGAGAAGGCATGTATGATTCTAAAATGAAGGCATGGCACGTGCAAGGCTGTGGTGTTACAAGAGAACTTGGAGCATTTGGAGAAGCGGACGTAGCGCAATGTGAGGCGAGAGATGAGAGTGGTACATCCTAGCAAGGAAACTCCCAGTCTTGGAGGTAATGGAGAACCATTGATGAATTTTAAGGATTTTAAGAATAGGCATAATGTAGTCAAATTCACACTCAGTGAAGTAGTCCTTGAACCATTGTTCACTGCACCACATGGTCACAGTCTTATTAAGCTGACAGTTGAAAGTTTCATTGGAAAACAAACCTGGCAGTTCTTGAAATGGAAACATGAAGGTAATGCAGGGCCTACAACTCTAGGTTGCAAAAAGATCAAGGACATTTCATAGATCTTGCCTTACTTTTCCTCTTAGGGCAAAACACACATTACAAAGACCCTCAAATGATGCTCACTGTTACCAACATTTTTTTCTAATCTTACATCTTTCATCCTAAATGCTCATGAAAGACATGTTGCTTCTGGTTCAAACTTGGGCCAATGACAATGCTTTTCATGTTTGTTGACCCAATAATCAGCCATTGCACTCAAAGACTTAGAGCGGATCAGTTTAAAAACAGCTATTACTGCATTTGAACTACAGCTCCCCTCCAGCCCTCTGTATGTCTGGGCTTGCTGCTGCCACAGGAAAGCTCCTAGTTCTACCCAGGGAGGGATTGTGTTTCTCAGCCTGTTTCAGCACCAACCCGTAAAAGCTGCTTATGTCAAATGTCAGTTAATTGCAAACTTACCCGTGAGGTTTAATTGACCTTATTCCACAACAAGTGTGGCCATATGAAATAAACCCAAAGATTCATGATCAGGCAGGTCTAAGTGTTGCATTTTGGAGAATGGCAAGGGGTCGTTTTTGGAAGGAGATGGAGCACCTCCTATGCTAATCTCATGAGATTAGCTTTAAACATCTTCAGTTTCCTCCAGTCAATAATTTGTTATGGAACTGTCATTTTACATTTAAACATTTTTTGAACCCTTTTATTTTTGCACCCTTTAGCGTTGGGATAAAAAATTCTTAAGTCATATCTCCTCCCCACTCCCACCACCGCCACACTGTTTTATATAATACTTCCTTTTACTATTTTACTGTTTTAAATTTATCTACCTTCCTGTCCACACCCCCCACCCCCGCCTCACCCTGTTGCTTCAGAAAAACTCATGATTTGTGGAGGAGTAAATGCTCACAACTATCTATTCTCTCAGCCCTACATCTCTCTCAACTTGCGTCTCTCTGGACAGAACAATTTTTATCTTTTTAGCAATTCTTATACCGCAGTTCCCCTTCACTGCCATAATTCTGGTGAACTCACTGTTTGAGATCAGTCTCCACTGTTCCCCATGGAGATCACCAAAGCCGATACTACCAGAAGCTCACATTTGAGCCCTGCAGAACATTGAGGAAAAGAGCATTTTGGGTTTGGTTTGATTTGTTTCAGCTATTTTTTCCCCTCTCTAGAAACATGGGTAGGTGGAGCTTACCAGGTGAGGTTGCTGACTTTCTTCTCTAGAGTCTGTAGAGTAGAGTATCTACACAATATTCCATTTGTGAAAATTTGCACAATAGACTAGATAAACAACGGATTACGGAGAAAACAGCCCTAATACTCAGACCCTAAAGCAGTGCTAGGTTAACAACAAGGTGCTTACTTGCTTGGGGTGCCAGCCAAAGTCAGAACAATGAGGCTTTCATGGACTTATCCAGAATTTTATAACTGATAAAAAGAAATCATTTTATGTTTTGTGGTTTAGTATTGCTTTAATCTGGGTTTATATATGGGAGGAGGCACCAAAATATTTCAGTGCTTGGGGACTTAGACTAAAAGCCACAAGGAGGAAGAGAAAAAGCAGGAAACAGGCTGCCCTTTGTCACGGACCTTGTCTTTCCTGGCACTCTTTGGCTCTGGTTTTCACAGACATGAGTCTGATGAGAATGCTGAGTGATTGGCTTCCAGTCTCAGCAGAGTGTATATGAGGAAAGAAAGCACTGGTTGCCTTTGCTACGTCTAGCCTATGTCTCCACCTCCCCCAGTGTATCCTAGTTAGCCCCTCCCCAAGCTTACCCCCTGGTCATTCTCACGGGGTCCTGTTTTTTACCCTAGGCCTCTTAGTGCTCTCTGTTCCCGCCAAAATATCTTTCAGATCCGTTAGTCATATTAAATTAGCAACAGCTCTTTACAAGTTAAAGGTCTTCTCCCTCCCACAGATAATGTCATACCAACACGGGTTAAAGTCTTAGCTAAAGAAGGAGTGTCTAACTTTGGATTCTCAGTCATAAACCAGTGGAAAGGACATCTGACTAGGGGGCAGGTGATCTCAGTGCATCTAAGCTCCCGCTGTATGGACTCGTGCTGCCTAACAGAGTAGCTACCAGTTGCATGGGACGATTACAATTTAATTAATTAAAATTACATAAAATAAAAAACTCACTACCTCAGTCACACTGGCCACGTTTGACCCACTCAATAACCACATGTGGCTGGTAGCTCCCACATCGGACAGCACAGATACTGATCATTTCTGGTCTCACAGGAAGCTCCCCATTGGATGGTGCAAATCTAAGTAATTTCCTTCTTGGCTTATGCAAAGGCAAGGCCCTCCCCAGTGCAGGGTTGCTCAGGCTTAGCACTATTGCCATCTTGGACTGGATTCTTCTTTGTTGGGGGTGGGGATGTCCTGTGCATTATAGGATGTTTAGAAGCCTCCCTGGTCTCTATCCCCTACATGCCAGTAACAGCCACCGCCCCCCCCACCCAGTTGTGGCAGTCAAAAAACATCTCGAGACATTGCTAAATGTCCCCTAGGGGACCCCTACACTGAAGTTGGCTGGAGCTCTGGGGATCAGGGAGGACATCTGCAAGCGTGCTTATGAGTTGTAAGCTCTAAGAGGGGAGGGACATTGCACAGGGCAGGTCAGGCACATTGTAAGTGCTCTTAAAACATTACAGTTGAGAAGAATTTCAGAGTAACATTTATAGCCAAGAAAGATATTCTTCCCCCAACTTGGGCATTCCCTTGATGTTAAATTGTCCTGTGCGTCAAAACCCTAAAGAACTGCAGGGAAGCCTATAACCCCAAAGGAAGGCAGAGAAAGGTCCTGGGGGACAGGTTGTGGGGTGAGTTAACTTATTCCAGCCAAGGTGAAGGAGTTGCCCCGGGCTTCACTCTGAGACTTGGAGCCTAGTGTGCTAAGCTCCCAGTTCCCAAAGTGACCATTCCCACGCTGAATGTCATTACTGCCTCATCAGCAGCTTGTCAGCTGTAATTTCTAATCCCAAGCCGGGTCTCTCTTCCCAGGACCAAAGTCATAAAGATGTTTGCCCTTGCACGGGTGTTTGACATGTGCTAGGCCATATTTGTGCATTTGTCTTAGGGCCCTCTTGAGGGCTTAGCACTTCTCTCTGACCCAGGCAAGACTTTATGTGCTGTGCATTCCTCCTGAACATGATGTCATGCTTGTGCCTCACCATGGAATTCTGCAGCCAGGCACTGGGGCTCAAGTCCAAAGACGGGAAGACTTAAAAGGCTCAAACAAGCAAATGTTTGTCATTATTTAAGATTTTAAGACAACTGAATTCTGAAATGTTTATGGTCCTGGCCTCCTTTGTGGGTCATCAATGACCTCTTCCCTTTTAGGAGGTATCTCATGGAGAGGGCGTCTTGGCCTGCTCCCCTCTGGGGCCACTAACTCACACCAGAGCTGACTCAACCATTCCAGGGGAAGATTGGTAAGAAGTTTATTCACCAGACATGTCTAGCTGAAATGAATGAAATCAAACTCAGCAGAAGTCAACACTTAGCACGGAAGGCAAAGTAGAGACAAAGGGTCACCCGGCTGCTGCACACCGGCCTTTAGCTTTAGCTCAAGTTGTTCTGCTTTAAAGGACAATGCCAATCATCTCATAAGTAAATGAAGACAATGATTCAACAGTGCTGTCAAGTTTGAGAGAAAAGAGAAGCCATCCCTACACCCAACACTTAATATATTGTTAGGCTTGGGGTGGGTTGCCCAGTGCCTTCTGGGATGACCTGTGCTCTTTTCTTTTATCCAGGAGCAATTAGAATCAATCTGCTTCATCTGGAAGTTCTGCCCAAGGGTCTGGCACCATAGGAAGTTGTCCAGGATTATTTTAACCCTGTTACAGGATCCAAGTAATTCCTGATATGTATGAATGTAAAGCCCATTCTTGTATTCAGCGTTTCTCAGTGGAGATACTTTTGACATTTTGGGTGGGATGAATCTTCCTTATGGGAGTGTCTCCAGCACACAACAGGGCACAGAATGCAAGTGGTGTCCTCCTCTGGTCATTGTCACAACCATCCACCCACCAATGCACGCACTCCCAGGCACCACGTGGTGGGTGGCACTGCCCCCACTGAGCACATTGCAAGCTTATTGCCACAGAAACTAGAATGCTAGTACTACCCATGGGAGCAGGCAGCAGGCCTGTTCTTTATTTATTTCACTCTTTGATTCTGCAGACCTCAGATTTACCCACTGTTATTGATCTGTGGAAGGCTTTTGACTGTCCATTTTCCCCCTAGGGTGAGCTCATATAAGTGGAAGAGAAGCAAAGAGATAGCTGTTGCACAGCTGTTCCATTCCTGCTCCCTGTTGATCTCCTAATGTTGTGAATACACCCTAAGAATTCTCCCAGGTGTGGATTAAGACGACTTAAGCCAGGAGGAAATTTGCCCCAAGGCAAAGCATCCTCTTTTCCCTCTGCAGAAACTTTGTCCAGGCACCCTAGCATGAGGGATTGCCTCCCCATCTAACATCTTCACACAGGCCCTCTTGCTGGACCCACATTAATGGACGGCAGCTTCTGACTTCCAGCAGGCCCTCTTTCACTTTCCATCGTCTTTCTCTGTCTGTGTTTTATAGCATGAGGCACTGAAGTTATCAGGTGATCAGAGAAGACTAGAACTGGATATAAACCAACAGATCATCGAGTAACGTGGCTTTCAACCTCCAGACTTCGAGGTCTATTGACTGTGAAGATACTGGAGGGGACTCAAAAGCTATTATCATTTTCTAAAATGGTGTCAGAACTGTTCGATGTACTTTAAATAGGACTCACAGGTGTATTAAAATGTCAAGTTTTCTTTTGCCTAAAACTGTATGAACGCGGTGCAATAACTGGTTATTTCAATGCTGACAAAAGTTCTGATTGACAGAACTTGCACTCATTATATATCACTCAGTACCTAATTGATATGATAATTTTGAAATCAGGAAGACTGTGGAGAGAGATTAGTAAGAGGTCCTTAGTGGTAAAAGGACTAAGGAAATTGTAGTCCGATTGTCTCTTTCTTCAAAAGTTGAGGCCCAGAGATGTTAAGTGACTTGCTGACAGTTGGATGATTAATGCCCTAGAACTATGGTGGCCATGCCACACCAGTACAGTCCCTATGTGCTCCTGTTGTCCCAGCATCATCACCAGTAGGAATCCCTGTCGCTCTCAAAAGAAATCCAGTTTGATTAATAAGTTACATGGTCACTCTACCTAAAACCCAAGTCTCCAACTGCCAATTCATCCCTTTTCTCACCACACAACTCTACCTCTTTCTCTCTTTTTCCTGGTTCTCAAAATTGTTTCTCCTATCTGAATGCATCTCTTATGTTTTCACAAGTAAGTCATCCTCAAAGTTTGGGCGACTATAAATGACAGCTCCAAATCCAGATGGCCTGAACCGTGGGACCTTTTGTTCCTGAGTGGAGGGGGAAGGAAGATGGTACGGGGCAGGGGCAGCTGGGCCCCAGGCAAGCCCAGGGCCTTGCCCAAGCCTCAGACAGCCACCCATGTGCTCCTGTGTTCTCAGTGACAAAGGCCAGGAGGGGCAGAGGGAAGCTGGTGAATTTTTATGATTTAAAAAATATGAATCCACACTGGATAGAAAAAAATACAATGTAAAACACCACCCATGCCGCTCTGAAAGTCTAGAATGTCCAGGTGACTCCAGAATGGTGTTCATAGACTTTGGCAATACTTTGAAAACCTCTGTGAACAATAAAAGTTAAGCATGAGAAAGAAAATATTTCCCATAAGAAAATGTAAACCCTTTTCCTTGTCTGCCACATGGGGCCAAACATACCAGTGTGTTTAATTGGTAGATCAGTACCACTCTCAAGAATTTCTTAGATGCCATAAACACAGAATGCAATTTTGGTGGAGTCCCACAGCAAGCTATAATCATGAGCAGGGAGGACCTGGGTTCAGCAGCTGTGCTTTATTCCTGTGTTGCTTTGAACTCACAGCAGAGCTAAATACCCGGCTCATAAGACCTTCTGATAACAAAGTCCAGCGGACTTGGGAGAAACTTGGGGTTTTTTTTGTTTTGTTTTTCCTTTTTTTTTTTTTTTTGAGATGAGGTTTTTGCTCTGTTGCCCAGGCTAGAGTACAGTGGTAAGATCTCGGTTCACTGCAACCTCCGCCTCCAGGGTTCAAGAGATTCTCCTGCCTCAACCTCCCAAGTATCTGGGATTACAGGCATGTGCCACGACACCTGTCTAATTTCTGTATTTTTAGTAGAGACGGGGTTTCGCCATGTTGGCCAGACTGATCTCGAACTCCTGGCCTCAGGTGATCCGCCCGCCTCGGCCTCCCAAAGTGCTGGGATTACAGGCGTTGAGCCTCTGCACCCAGCCAAGAAACTTGTTAAAATGAAAATTGGGTCTATGTAGACTGGGAGATTAAAAATGACTCCTTTTTAATGTAAGGAACTTTGCTTTACTGTTTCATTAAAAGGTTTGCCAGTGCAAACCGAAAATGTAGGAGCCCTTTTTCAAAAGCAGGAACAAAAACAACCTCTGCTGTGAAAGGTACTAAAATAAAAGCCGCTTTTTTTCTTCTGCAGTCTCTCTTTTGACTTGTCACAAGGCTTTTAAAATCATTCTTATTCGCTATTTAATGCCACTCTAAGTAAAGGAAAATTAAAATTTTAAATTGTTAGCATGAATCTTACCATTCATCTTTATATTGTGCAAAGCCAGCTTTAAACGAAAATATAAGAGCATTTAATTTGTATGCTAAATTGTTCCAAATGATGCAATTTGCATATTTCATTCTTACCAGAACAGTGGAAAATGCTGCACAAAACTAATTCAATGCTTTTATTTCGCTTCTCAATAATGCACATTCTTTTTTTTTTTTTTTGAGACAGAGTCCCTCTCTGTCACCCAGGCTGGAGTGCAGTGGCATGATCTCAGTTCACTGCAACCTCTGCCTCCTGGGTTCAAATGATTCTCATGCTTCAGCCTCCCGAGTAGCTGGGATTACAGGCACCCGGCACCACACCCTGCTAATTTTTGTATTTTTAGTAGAGACAGGGTTTTGCCATGTTGGCCAGGCTAGTCTCAAACTCCTGACCTCAGGTGATCCACCACCTCGGCCTCCCAAAGTGCTGGGATTACAGGCGTAATCCACCGTGCCCGGCCTGATACATGCACGTTCTATCAATGCTCTCTACCTTTGGCTTACTGACAAGTAAGGAAGAATTTAAAAAAGGCCTATGGGTTGCCTTATCTTTCTATTTCTTTCTGTGTCTTCATTTTCAGTTTAAGTTGTTTGCAAATGCAAAGAAGTAACATGAGTAAGAAAGGTCAAACCAAGTTTCCTTGGTCATATGTGTTTCTTAGAATACCACTGCTGCCTTTGTGTTTGAAGCAAGTTTTGGTTTTCAAATGGAAAGTGTGGCCTCTCAGGGCTGTCAGTGTCCCTCCCCCTCCCCAGCTAACTCATCATAGACAAAACACACTTGGGAGTCACTTAGAAGCTTCATGAACTCCCACACATTGTGAATACACCAGAATTCTGAGTTCATGGCGAATGCTCCATGTGAATAGGGTGACAAGAAAGGACAGGCACACGTATCTCCTGTGTTTCTGCTCATTCCATGCTGTCTCATCAGAAGTCACTTACAAAATACAAGTTTCAAGAGGAAATTATTACAATTTTAATACGGTGGCCGCAGAGCATGAAACCCATCAAGAAGTCCTTCTGAGCACCAAGTCCTATGCAAGCACACAGGTGACGTGCCATGAAGCTGGCCCTGCACGTGGGGTGGCACCATGCATGAAAATGGTGAAGAGATCCCAGGGGATCGGGCGGTGCACTGAGAAGGAACACCAGGCATCCAGACCTGCACACAGGGCAGTGTGCACAGCAGGAGTCCAGGGCAGCCAGAGATTCACTACCAGAGGTACAGCCCGAGAGCACATGCCATGCCAGGAAAGAGGAGACAGGCAGAGACAGGAAGATCAAAGTGGAGGGAGAAAAGCCAGATTACTGGTTAACTAAGACACTCAGCCGGCAGTGTCAGGAGAGAGCCACAAAATGAAGGCAAGGGAATCACGGAAGCCAGATACTAGCAAAGGGGCATCGGAAACCAGTGGCCACGTGGCTCTGATCCCAAGCACTGAGTGCCCTCCCCGGCATCCTTGTGGGGCTGTGAGGTTCGTTTCATGTGTCTGGACGTGGCTCCTCAGCGTGGTCTTCCAGCTCCTCTCATCCCTCTACCCTCTTGGTAAAAACAAGACATCTTCTAGGAGTGAGGCAACCTCCCCGCTGCCCTGTAGAGAGCCACACTTCTGCTTTTCTAGTGTTCTAAGAATGCTTTTCCTGATTTATCATCGTTAAGAATGGGTGGGAAACTAGCTATGTTGAACATGTGACGTGCAAGGTGGTTAATGGTGATCCACCAATGAGCAGGACGCCAGGACCTTGTGCAACTGGGAGACTTTGCAACACCACAGCGGAAGGCTGTCCCTCAGAGGTTTGTAGCCACCTAGGGGCCTCCTTCTATCACCCATGACTAAGTCTTCTGCATTAGCTTAGAGCAGTGTTTTTCAGCCTTGAAACCATGAACATTTGGGGCCAGACAGTTTTCTGTTGTGGAAGACTGTCCAGTGTACCGTAGGATGTTTAGCAGCCTCTCTGGCCTCTGTTCACTGCATGCTAGTAGCAACCCCCTTTCCCTACCCTGTGACAAAAATGTCTCCAGACGTTGCTAGATGCTCCCTGTGGGAAATCATCACCCTTGGTGAGAACCTGTGACTTTGAGCCCATGAGCCCTGCAGAGGATCATGTCTGAGAGGACGCCACTCCCACCACATGCTCTTCCAGCTGGAATGGTTGTCTTTGCAGTGCCTGCTTTTCTGAAAGTGTCTCTTTATTGCTTTGGCTTCCTTCTAGCACTATATTCCCCACTCCTGGGCAAGTTAGTAAGGCCTGGGGGTATAGTAAAGTCACTCAGTGGGCAAGTCTCCTTGCTCTGTGTTCATCCAAAGAGAGTTAGATCAGCCTTGAAAGTCACTGCAAAATATATATATCCTGAGGCCTACAAAGATTTTTGTGAGCTCACCGTCCCTTTGCTAACTCTCTAGGGCACTGTGTACTACTATGTAGCAAGAGCTCAATGTTTGCCAGCCTTGTCATATGTTTTGTCTCTTTTAATCTTCAAAGAGAAAAAAATAACTCCTATAACATAACAGCGTATCTCCTATAACTTATAAAAAATTCCTATAAAGTAGTATTGACTCCCATGCCGGGAATTAATAAGTAACTTGCCCAAGACCACCCAGGTAGTAAATGGATTTGAACTTGGGTTTTTTGGCTGCTGGTCTAAGACCTTTTCTATCAATGCTTCCCTGGCTTCGTGCATGTAAGAATCACCTGTGGGTGTTTGCAAACAATGCAGGTCCCCAGGCCTCGCCCCTAGAGCCTTGGTAGGCAGGTTTAGAGCAGGCCCCAAGAATCGGGATTTGAAACATCTGATGAAACACGTCATTCCGGTAATGACTGTGCAGGTGACTGCCCCTTGAGTAACACTGAACTCCATTATTCTGTGCTTCCTGGCAAACCATCAGGGAAGGAGGGAAGGAGAAAAGAGAAAAGAGAGGAGAAGGGTTGAGAGAGATTGAAAGCACTCAGGCTGATGCAGGGTTGAGAGGAGCTGGTTTCCTCCTTCCTCTCTCATCCTTGCAGGCTTAGCCACATGTCTGACAATGGCAATACCGTGTCCAAAACTCCACACCCACGAGATGCCCCTTGACCTCTCCTGCCTCTGTGTGTTTGGGCAGCCTGGGTGTGGGTTCCCCCAGCTCAGTCCTCAGGTGCCAGGACCAAAGCTCCCATCAGTGAACCTGACTAATTCACAAAGCATTTCTTTTTTTTTTTAAGTTCTGGGATACATGTGCAGAATGTGCAGGTTTGTTACACAGGTATACGTGTGCCATGGTGGTTTGCTGCACCTATCAACCCGTCATCTAGGTTTTAAGCCCCGCATGCATTAGATATTTGTCCTAATGCTCTCCCTTCCCTTGCCCCCGGCCCACCAACAGGCCCTGCTATGTGATGTTTCCCTCCCTGTGTTCACGTGTTCTTATTGTTCAGCTCCCACTTATGAGTGAGAACATGTGGTGTTTGGTTTTCTGTTCCTGGGTTAATTGGCTGAGGATGATGATTTCCAGCTTCATCCATGTCCCTGTAAAGGACATGAACTTGTTCATTTTTACGGCTACATAGTATTCCATGGCGTATATGTGCCACATTTTCTTTATCCAGTCTCTCGTTGATGGGCATCAATTCACAAAGCACTTGCATCAGCTTCATTTGATTATGGAAATTAGCCCACTAACATTGCATTTCTTTGTTCACAGATACTTTCTAAAATCCTTGGCCTTCGCTAGAGACTTTCCTGGAAGGTTTGTCTCCCCTGGCTAGATCATGAAAAACCTGGATCAGCCTTAAGTTGGATATCTGGTCACTTTTGCTTTTAAATAGTCTGGCAAAGCAAGAGGTACAACACATCCTGGTTTGATGTACTTTCCAGCAAAAAGTATTAGCAAAACAATAATAATATTCAGAGGGCTCAGTTCCCAGTAGAATTCAGCACATACTCCAGATCTCCTGAGGTTCAGGTCTAGTTGAAGGGAAAGGAATGACTGAGATGAGTTTGAGTTTCAGACTTGAGTTTCTCCCAGCTCCCTTGAGAGGCAAAGAAAATCTGCCGATAAACACGAAACAAAGCTCATTGTCCTGCTACTTGTTTGCAAGCAATTGTATGTCTGTCCTGCAGACCTCACTGGGCTCACGGCATTTTGAATAGCTTTCTGTGATGTAACGCACACAGGTTTTCACTCACACTATGCGCAGGGAATTCAGCTCTCGGAGTCATGACTACGTCATCCTTCACCTCTCAAACCATCGCTGCTGGTGGCCTTCGCTTTTATTTGTTAAGCTGTAGCTTCAGGAAAGAGCCAATTCCCTCCCTCCCTCCCTTCCTTCCTCCCTCCTTCCTTCTTTCCCTCCCTCCTTCCTTCTTTCCCTCCCTCCTTCCTTCTTTCCCTCCCTCCTTCCTTCTGTCCCTCCCTTCTTCCTTCCTTCCTTTCTTTGCCCCTCCATTTCCCTCCCTCTTTTTCTTTCATTCCCTATCTCCCTCCCTTCATTCTCTCTCTCTCTGTCATGGTTAACAACACATGCTTCAACAGGTTTTTTTTTTAACCTCTTAAGAGGTATATGGTTAAAAAGTCTCTTTGCTATTCCTGTCTTGTACCTAAGCCACCTACCCCCACCCCACCCCTGCCATACACACATTCATACACACAAGTAAACCATTGGTACTGATTTGATGTTTTTCCTTCCAAAGTGCTTTCAATATATATGAAAGCACATTTGAATAGATGTTGTCAGCCCCCAAATGACAGCCTGTAAAACACAGTGCTCTGCATCTTACACTTTTCACTCACCATTATATCTTAGAGATCTTTCCAAACGTAAAGACCTTGTACATTCTTTTTTATGGCATCATAGTACTCCAGTTGTATAGATTAGCATCATTTATGTAGCCAATCCTCTATTAACAAAAATTCAGGTTGCTTCCAATATGTTGCTGTCACCAACAATGTTGTAGCACGTAGCCCTGCACTATGTCTTCCTGCACATGTGCCAGTCTGTGTGCAGCATAAACTCCTGAGGATGGCATTTGAGGATGAGTGGCTGTATGCACCTGCAGTCTGGATAGATACGAACAAATCGCTTATCGTAGGCACCGTGTGGACCTCTCTTCCACCAATAGTGCAACGGGACCTGGCAGTCCCTATTGCAACAAGTTCCTGAGGCTTTCCTGGGATAAGAAAAAGGCGAGAGAGTATAGAAGGTTATTTAATTAGAAGACCAGGTTCCCCCTCTCACTTCCCAAGCCACAACCATCAAAATTCTCAAACCTGATTCTTTATGATACAACCCAAGAAAGATATATTTTTATTTTTAAAATCGTAACCTAATGAATTAGGATTTTTTTGACTGTGAGTAACAAAATACAGTTCAACTCAGCTTGGCAGTGGACTGGGGGAGAAAGAGCGGCAGGGCGTGGTCACTGTAAGAAGAAGGACACATCTCATGGTACAGTAGGCAGGAGTGCAGCCGTGCTCCCAGGAGGGACAGCATCCAGGAGCTGGGAGACCACAGGACAGCCAAGGATACAGGGCCTGTCACCCATTGCTGCTTCTATTTGGATCTTCTTTCTTGAAATATTTTTTTCCTCTCTTCTATTCAATCCTCACAACAGGTAAAGGTGGAAGCTCATAGTGACCAAATTCACAGTTGGAGACAGACTTTGTGTGCATGTGTGCATGTTAGTGTGTATGAGTGTGTGAGTGTGCATGAGTGCGTGAGTGTATTTGCTTGTTAGTGCAAGTGTGCACCAGTGTGTGAGTGTGCATGTTAGTGTGCGTGAGTGTGCATGTTAGTGTGCATGTTAGTGTGTGTGTGCATGTTAGTGTGTGAGTGTGCATGTTTGTGTGTGCATGTTTGTGTGAGTGTCCATGTTTGTGTATGTGTGCATGTTAGTGTGTGGCATGTGTGAGTGTGCATGTTAGTGTGTGTGTGTGTGAGTGTGAGTGTGCATGGTTAGTGTGTGCGTTAGTGTGAGTGCATATTAGTGTGTGTGTCCGCATGTTAGTGTGTGTCCGCATGTTAGTGTGAGTGTGCATGTTAGTGTGTGTGTGCATGAGTGTGTGATTATTTGCTTGTTAGTGTGAGTGTGTACCAGTGTGTGTGTACATGTTAGTGTGTGAGTGTGCATGTGTGACTGTATGTGAGGGTGCATGAGTGTGTGTGAGTGTGAGACTTGTGTGTATGTTAGTGTGCATGTGAGTGTGCATGTGAGTGTGTGGGTGTGTGAGAGTGTGAGTGCACAGGATGCTTTTCTGCTTTGATTCCCCATTCCCAGAAAAGGGCGTTGGCCCTGAACTTGGGGCCAGGCACCCAGCCTGGGCCAGGCAGCTGTGAACAGCAGAGCTTGGTCATGTTGTCCAAGCTGAAATGTGGGTCCCGCTGTTCTGAGTGGGCAGAAGAGCCAGGGGAATCTTTTCAAGCCGAGCAGATATTCCACATGGCATCTGCACAACCACAAATAAAGTTGTTTATCTTTGTCACTTTAATATTATAACAAAAGCATTATAAAAACAAGGCAGAAACATAATGAACTCTAAGGCCCAATAAATCTCTTGGTTAAATGGCCCTCGTGGTTTCTGAAGTTATCCCAGAATGGGATAATGGCAGAAATGAATTAGGTATAAACTGGACAAATTCTCACCTCTCCTGTTGTTTCTTTTCAGCCAATAGTTTCCTAAAAACTGGGTTATCAGAGACGCTCTTTTAGAGTAAAACAATTTTTTTTTTTTACATTTTTAAAAACAGAGCTTCTCTCCAATGAATGTCCAGAAAGACCATACATTTCAGGGCTGGCCTACAGGACATATTTCAAAGTGATGTGTAATGTCATTTTAGAAGAGTGAGCTGTTTTCTGTTGTTTTTTTTTAACTTAAAGACAAAATGGCCAGGGAAAAAGCTGCCAAGTCTCTGAGTAATCTTATTGAGGGTTCAGCTTTCTAAGTATGACCTTATGCTAGCAACAGCCCCTGAGTAACAAGAAAACAAGCCAAGCTAGGAAGCCTTGTTTCTATGAGACGAAATGGTAAGACAGCAAAGTCTGAAGGTGAATTCTAATTATGTAACATGAGTGAGTCATCAACGCCGTCAGCGATCACAGACAATGATGCAGTGACCCGCCGTCTCCCCACACTTGCAAAGCACAGAGGCTGTGTTTCTCATCCCCCGCTCCACACCTTCCTCTCACCCCTCCTTCCTTCCTTCTTTTCTATTTTTCTCTTTTCTTTTCCATTTTGTGCTGCATTACTCAGGGTTCTCAGAACCAATAAGATACACATATATATTTAGAAAGTGATTTCTTGTAAGAACTTGGCTCATGTGATCATGGAGGCAGGCAGGTCCCAAGATCTGCAGAATGAGTTGGCAAACTGGGGACCCAAGAGAGCTGATGGTGTGGTTCCTGTCTGCGTCTGAGGCTCTGGAACCCAGGAGAGCGGATCACATAGCTCTAGCACAAAGGCCAGCAGGTTTGAGACCCAGGAAGATCTGATATCTCCATTTAAGTCCAAAGGTGAGAAAAAGCCAATGTTCTAGTTCAAAGACGACCAAGCAGGAGGATTTCTCTCTTGCTCAGGGGAAGGTCCACCTTTTTGTTCTATTCAGGCCTTCAACTGATTGAACAAGGCCCACCTGCATCGGGAGGGCCACCTGCTTTACTCAATTTACTGATTTACACGTTAATCTCATTTCAAAACACCCTCAGAACACCCAGAATAATGTTTGCCCAAATGTCTGGACATCCTGTGGCCTAGTCAGGTGGACGCATAGAATTAACTATCACGTGTGCCTTCCTGTTCTCGGGTGCACTGGCCACGCATGCTGTCACCCATTTCCCGTTTATCATCTTTTCTTTACAGCCAAGTTTCTAGAAAGAGAAGTCTAGACTGTCTGCAGTTTCTCATCTCTCATTCACAAGTCAACCCAGCGGCAGTTGGCGCCTGTCCCCATCATTTTCTTGAAACTGATCTCAAGAATCTGCATAATCTAATTGTCAAGTTCTTTCCTCTGTTCTTTGTGTAATAACGCACCATCCTGAATCTCTCCTTCAGGCCTCTCTTCTCTGTGCGGCCCTCTAGGAGTGATAGTCCCCAGGATCCTACCATCTTCCTATCTATCTTTTTTTTTTTTAATTTATTTTTTTGAGACGGAGCCTCACCCTATAGCCCAGGCTGGAGTACTCACTGCTACCTCCACCTCCCAGTTTCAAGCAATTCTCCTTCCTCAGCCTCCCGAGTAGCTGGGATCACAGGCCCGCACCCCCATACCCAGCTAATTTTTGTATTTTTAGTAGAGACGGGGTTTCACCATGTTGGCCAGGCTGGTCTCAAACTCCTGACCTGAGGTGATCTGCCCGCCTCGGCCTCTCAGAGTGCTGGGATTACAAGTGTGAGTCACCGTGCCTGGCCCCCTATCTCATTTAACAAGCTCTGTCTGGCAGATGTTATAAGCTCTCTTGCTTTAACTGCCAGCTCTAGGCTCATGACTATAAAATCTCTGTCTTCAACATTCTCTCTCTCTGAATCTCAGACTTGGGATATATAACTGCTTACAGATTCTCTCCCCATTGGATAGTCTCCACATGAAACTGGAACTTAACATGCCGCATTCAAATTCACCATTTCCCCCGTAGACTTAATTCTTAATTTCTTCTTTCTCAGAATGATACTAGCATCCATGCAGTCTCCAGAGGTTTTATCCAGGAGACATTTATTACCAACGGCTCCGTCTCCCACCTTGTAATTCAAATCAGTTACTATGCTCTTTCGGTTCTCCTTGCTAAATATCCATTTCCTCTCCTCTTCACTGTCCCTGTCTCCAGCTTAATCCGAACCTTCCTTATAATTCTCAACTGGAGTATAGCTTTATAATGGATTTCTCTCCACCTCCATTTCAACTGCCCCTTCAATGAATTAGTGACTATTTTCAGTGTGATTCTTATGCAAGAAAATGTGATCGAGTTAATTCCCACTGAAAGCATTTCCAAGCCTACCCCATTGCCTTTAGGATACAATATGAAGACAATTGCAACAGTCCAGGAGAGAGACTGTGAGCTAAGACAGAGGCAACTGAGATGGAGACACAGGACAGAATGAAGGGAGCTGGGAGATCCTACAAGCTAGAAATGCCAAGACCCCATTACCCATGAGACGATCAGACGTGGGAGTGAGAGTAAAGGGAGATGAAGGAAATCCTCTCCATCCTGACTTTGATGATAAAGTGAGTCATAGTCTTGTTCTCTGAGCTGGGGAACTCTAGATCCTGACTTTCCTCAAAGCAAACAGCAAGTGAACTTACTTGGGTGGGGCACCCTGTCTGGGGAAGCAAAGCCTTCAGGAAACTCAAAGGTCTGCGTAGAGATGAATCAGAGACTCAATAACGAAGAAATAAAAATTAATACCAGATGGGTGAAGGAGGCAGTTGAAAGTCCTTGTAAATAGTCAGCATCCAAGAGTGCTGCAGAAGTGGAAGGTGCCACAAACAATGCTCTTCTGCCAGGAGATTCCTAAAAATCTGCTGGCAAAGACCAGAGAAAGAATCAGAGCCACGTGCCCAGCAAGACATTACCTAAGCTCAAAAGGGTTTAAAGGACTTATAACCCTGCCTTTTACCCTCAATTATTTCATGATCACCACCATGCCCTTTTTCCTGGTCAGGTGGTTGGCAGTAGTTTGGAATACCTTGCTGTTTGTAGAACATGTTAAAGCATGAATTATTTGTTGCTATGCCTTCTGGGTGCATATTTGGATGCCCTAACAGATGAACTAATAGCTCTTTTCATCTCACTCTCTTTATTGAGTCTTGCCCATTTACAACAAAGGAGAGACTTGTTTTGTAGATCTTTAAAACACACCTGAGGATTTTGAATTCATTTATAAGCCAATCCCCTCCAGTGATCATTCAGTAAGAACCAAAGTCATTTGCAAAGCTATACACCAACAACATTTAAACTGGTTAAATTGAGCCAAACCACCCAATTTGGCTGTTCAGCCAAATTCAAGTATGTCCAATGCATTGGGATATTAAATCCCCAACAAATTCTTCTTTGGCATGGCCTGACAAGATCACTGGTATTTATTGGTTGCTTTTATACAAATGGAAAGAAATATATCATAACCAAAAAGTTTTCACAGGCAACCTCATTAGAATCTTGCATGGGACCCAAGAGTGGGCTGAAGAACACAGTCTTTCCTGCCAAAGAGCAGCCTTTTGCTCTGCAAGCAGGTGGCTGATGGGCTGTTTTATGAAGGGTTTAATGATCTCTGTCTGCCTTAGTTACCTACCAAAATAAACTGTGTGAATCCCAACGTGGTAGAAGGACTCCCTCATTAACTGTCAAGCAAAATCTTGGTAGGGCTCCACAGCCTGAGGAAATAAAGTTGCTAAGGAAGACAAGTCAGTGATTCTGTAGTTTCTACAGACCTCTGCTTCAGATACTGTTAGCAGCCCAGGAAGTAGTTCTGTTGGCTGCATTGATCCTGGGCCCAGAATTACCCTAAGGCAGAACCATCAGGGAGACAGAGCTAGATCAGTCTCCATTCCCCTAGGACACTACTCATTTGGCGACAAGCTAACCAGAGAGCTTCACTCAATTTATAATATTCATAACTGATAAAGGCCTTTTCTGGTATCCCACTAATTATATATCCAGGTTATAACCTAAATAAGATACAAAACTGAGGATGCATTTTTGTCTGATCTCTTTATTTGATGCCTGAGGAAACTGAGACTCAGGAATGGCTGAACTGCCTGAAGTTGCACACCTGAGAGTCGAGCCCAGGTCTCCTGACTTGCAGGCCACAGTTCTTCCTGCTGTGAATACCATCATGTGCTGCCAGCTGCACATGGTTGAATGGGAGTTACAGAAGTTTGGAAAACCTGGGTCAGATATCAGACTAGAGAAACATCCAAAGAGAGATAAGAAAAAACATAGACTGGATGGTCCACAAGCCTCAGTGTAGGAAATGAAGTGGATTAGCCAGGAAATCAGGAACCTAGGCTGTTTTGAGGGGGCATAAAAGCTGCCTTGCTCAATCATGCTTATTTCAATCTATAGAGAGAAACACCCTACAGGCAGAAGACCTGCCATTTTTACCCATGCTTGGTCCAAGAGTACGCCTTCCTTCATCCATATTTCTAGCTTTCTCCCCACCCACTCCTTTCTTTGGAAGGAAGTTATTTTCCTTTCCTATCACTGAAAATTCTAACAGAGCCCCACTGAGAGTCTTCTTCATCCTACGTCCTCATTTAAAGCCAAATTTTACTGAGCACTTACTATGCACCAGGTGCTGAGCTGGGGTAACAAAGATGGAGCAGCCACAGTTATAATCCACAAGGATCTCCTCATCCAAAGGTCCTGTTTATGTAGAGTGCTTGCTTGCACCATGTGGACAGTGAGCATACTTCTAAACCCCAAATCTCAACATATGGTCCAAGAAAAGCCTGCTTTTCTAATTTGCGAATGTTTTATAAGGGTGTCTTTAAAAGGCTTACAAATTGAATTGTGTTAGTAAGTCCTATAACAAGTTCCTTTACTAGAAAAAAATAAATTTTATTAAATCAGGATTTTTGAGAAAAATCTGTGCTGTGTGTTCTCCAAATCCATATGTTTTAACTTGTAAAACCTCCCTATAATCACAGTCTATTGCAGTTGGGAAGGATCTGAAATGTCACCTAATCCAGAAGATGTAAATTTTTTATTTTTTAACAATGAAACAATTTTTAAAAACAAATATTACCGTGACTTCCAAAATAATAAAAGAATTAAAATTGGCACCTTTCTCCTAAAAAATGAGCTTGTTTACTCTTCCCGTCGCAAATGAGGAAACTGAGATCCAAAGAGAGTGAGAGGTCAAAGGTCTCAAAGAAAGTTACTTGCAGAGTGAGGGTAGGAACATAGGATCCTTTCCTATTCTCTTTCCACCCATCCATCCATCCACTCATCCATCCATCCATCCTTCCATTCACCCACCCACCCATCCATCTATTCATCTATCCACCCATCTATCCATCCATCCACCCATTCACCTATCCATCCACCCATCCATCTATTCATTCATCTGCCATCCATCCATCTATCTACCCACTCATATATCCATCCATCCATCATTCCATTCATCCACCCACCCACCCATCCATCTATTCATCTATCCATCCATCCACCCCTTCACCTATCCATCCACCCATCCACCATCCATCTACTCAGCCATCCATCCACTATCTATCCACCCATCCATCCGTTCATTAATCCACCCATCCATTCAACAATCCACCCAATTTTCTATTCATCCATCCATCCATCCACCCACCATCTATCTATTCATTTATCCATCCATCCATCCATCATATATCTACCCATTGATCCATCCACCCATCTAGATATTCATCTATCTACCCATCCACCAACCATCCATCTATTCATCCATCCATTCATCTACCCATCCATTCATCTACCCATCCATCTATCTACCCACTAATCCATCTATCCATCCATCCACTTCACAAACCTTCAATAAGTCCTAGGGGTCCTGCACTTGAAAAACAGGTAGACAGAGGCCAGACCATGCATGGCCTTATGAGTCACCTTAAGAATTTTGGACATTGTCTTAAGAACAATAAGAAAGACATTGCAGTACTTTTTGTTTTGCTTGGGTTTAGGGATTTTCTTTTAAAAACATTTTATTGTAGAATGTTTCAAAAGTAGAAAGAGTAGTATCAATTACCTAGCTTCAATAATTCTCAGCACATGGAAAACCTTGTTTTACGTCTCCCCACTTTCCCCACCCCACTGGGTTATTGGCCTGCAAATACTCAGTATGAATCTTCAAAAGACAAAGACTCTTTAAAAATATATATATATATATATAATATATATAATATAAAATTATAATACCATTATCAAACTTAAAACATTTCCATAGTAATTCCATAATATTAAAATTTCATTAGCTGACTAAAAAGTTTAGAGATTGGGAACTCACATGACACAGTTGACATTTTAGAGACATCAGCTCTGGCTACAGCATGAAGAAAGGGTTATAGAGAGATGAGCCAAGTCTCAAGGGCCAATGCAGTAATCCAGATGAGAATGGAAGTGGCCTGAACATGACAGCAGTAGGGACAGAGAGGAATGGAGAGGTACAAGAGCACTGCAGGAGGCATCGTCGAGAGGACATCTTGAAAGCCATGGGGAAGATAGACAATGGAAACCATTAGGATGAGGCCATGGGGAAGATGGACAATGGAAACCATTAGGATGAGGCCCAGCATCTAGTGTGGGTGGTGGTGCCATTCACTGAGAGGAGACCAAAGCTGAAAATATCCATTTGGATTAACAGATGGGGTGTGTCTTTTGGAGAGGTGGAGCACAGGGTGGGAGAGGGGCATCACGGGGAGCTGTCCAGGGCCAGCTGGAGAGAATGCTTGGGCTGGAGAGACAGGTTCAGGAGTCCTGAAGCTGTAGGTGGAAACTGAAGTTGTGGCTGCAGGTGGTGAAAGTAGAGGAGGCTGAGGACAGAACTGGAGGCTCAGTGCCATGATGGGAGGTGAAGAGAAACACCCAGACAGACTAGCACCAAGGAAAGAGCATCATTTAAAAGGGGAAACGTGGTCAATGGTGTGAAATCTTGCAGAGATGTCAAGTAAAGTCAGACTCAAAGTGGGCCACTGGGTTTAGGAAAAAGGATTTAGAGCAAGGGATGTTGGGAAGAGCCCGGTTGGTGAGGGAGAGAAAGCAAGCACCAGACTGTCACCAGTGAAAACGGAGGAACTGGAATTTCTTCTGCGCCCGACCCAAAGTGCTAGGATTACAGGCGTGAGCCACTGCACCCGACCCAGTCTGTAATATTTTATTATGGCAGCTCTAGCAAACTAATACAGCCAGGCACTGTGATTAACATGTTACTTCCTTCTTTTTATTTAATATTCACAAACATCTCATGAGGTAAGTGCTCCTGTATCTCCTTTTCTTGATGAAGAGATTGAAGCTTAGAGAGGGAAACAAACTAACTTGCATAAGATGGAAAAGTCAGTAAGCAGAATTCTAATGCAGTTTCCCAGGGATGCTGTCACAAAGCACCACAGACTGCAGGGCTTAAACAGAAATCGATCGTTTCACAGCTCGGGAGGCTGGGAGAGACCAACGGGTCGGTAGGGTTGGTGGCTTGAGAGGGCTGTAAGGAAAGAATCTGCCCATGTTTCTTCATATCAGCTTTCCTCTCCGTATTGCTCCTCTTTATAAGGACATCAGTCCAGTTGGATGAGGGGCCCACCCTGCTCTAGTAGGACCTCATCTTAACTAATTACATCTGCAATGACTTTATTTCCAAATAAGGTCCCATTCTGAGATACTGGGGGTTAGGAATTTAACATATGAATTTGGGGGTACACAATTCAATCCTCCTGCCCTGCCTGGATGAAGGCCGTGTGAGCTGAAGGACTCAGTCAGCTAGGGGAAAACCTGACTTCAGGGTCTTAAAGGAAAGGGGTGACTGCTGGGAGCAAGTCAGGAGAGAGGTCATATATGGAGAAAAGTCCCATAGAAGGCAAGACAGGATGGCATTCAGTGGCAGGTGACAGGTGGAGGGATTCACTTGGGCATGAGAGGACACATTTTCCTTATTGTTACAAGGATGAGGGAAGGAAAAAGGGATGAGTTGAAATGTGAAGTCAATCTGCAGATGTGGAGGAGGGAAGTTGAGGAAGTTCATTTCAGAGGGCGCCTGCTTTCTTTGTGGAGCAGGTGGGGAGACTGCCTACTGAGGTTAACAGCAGGGTTTAAGATTGGGGCTCAGAAGAAAGACAGCAAATAAAACCAGAGACATTGAAAAACATGGGGAAAGTTTGAAACATCCGCTGTGTATAAACTGCAACAGCCTGCTGTTTCTAGACTAGGCCCCATTCAATGTAGCATTGCAGAAGATAATCTACTCTCATTTTAATTAGAAAAATAGGAGAAGAGGAGGGTGAGCTGGCCAGGGAACTACAGAAGGCTGCCTGACAGTAACAAGGGTCTAGATGGCATTGGTGGCCCTGAGGTTGCAGTGGCACCATCTGCAGGGTGTGTGGTTTTGCCAGCCATGCTCAATAGCTGGGCGATTGATGCAGAGTAAGTAAACAGTTGAGTTCATCCAAAGCTGGGCTTTGGCCAGGGCAATGCATTAAAAGGACAAACGGCAAGGAGGTTGAGCATATTGGCAAGAGGAGGGTGAAGTAGGGAAGCTCAGGGGTTTCAGTGGGCAGAGAGGGAAGTGGGCATGTGAGGAGGCTGTGGCTATTTCTGCTGAAGAGGCCTGCTCATGCCCCTTGCTTTCGGAGCGCATGGCTGTTGCTGCTTCCTGGAGGAACAGATGCTGCCAGATGTGCCATACTAATGAGCTGCAGGCTGACAGGCTCCCCAGATGGTCTCCCTCCTCTGCAGTGGTCCTGACTGGTCCCAGCTGGGCAATTCAGCAATTTGTGCTCAGTGCTGCCACAACGCTCAGAGCATGCTCTGGGGACACACACCCCTGTGAAAGGATGAGGTTGGTACCAGCTGCCCTCCTAGTGGCGTGTCGATGTATCCCCTGGATCAGTCAGCTCATTTCTCTGTTACTTTAAAATGCAGTATGGAGTGACTCTGTTTACATCTTGGATTTTATTGCTGTAATCTTCTAAGACTACCAATCTTCCCTTAGCTGCCATATTTCAAATAAAAACTATGGATATTATTATAAATATTATTGATATTACTATTCTATACCTCTACTGATGTTATTAGCAGTCAACTTGAAACTCCAAGTTACCATATTCACTTCAGTATCTTCATATACAAATAAAGGAGAAGAAAAACCCATAAATGTTTTAGAGGGGTGGTGACACACTAATGTTATTCCTAGTACAAAATGGTCAACATTTAAAAAAAATACTAAACATTGTCAGAAGCAATGGGAGCTATTATACCTTGTTGATGAGAATATCGATTGATACGACCACTTTGGAAACAGTTTGGTATTTTCTGTTAAAGCTGAAAACAAAGCAGGCAAGGTTCTGTGAGCCTGTAGTCCCAGCTACTCAGGAGGCTGAGGCAAGAGAATCCCTTGAGGCAGCCTGGGCAACACAAAGAAACAAGGAAGGCAGGAAGGCAGGGAGGGATGGAGGGAAACCTATCATCCAGCAATTCCACATAAACACAACAGAAACAGATAAAGATCTACGTAGCATTATTATTCATAATGGGCTAGTACTGGAAACAACACAATTGTCTGTGAACATTATTAATAGGATGGAAAAATGTTGGCATATCCATACAGTGGAATACCATACAGCAATGCAAATTACAAACTACAGCTACAGGCAATAACACAGATGCATTGCTCAAACCTAATGCTGAGTGGGAGAAGCTGACACAAAAGATCATATGCTGTGATCCATTTATCCAAAGTTTAAAAACAGGGGAAGTCACTTTATTGTATAGGAGTGCCAAGTGACATAGTAAAGCACAGAGAAAACTAAGGAGGGAATGACGAGAACAGTCCAGGTAGTCACCTGTAGGCAGGCCCACCGTTAACAGACAACTGGCACATTCAGTAATTGAGGACACATAAGTATACTTTAGACGCTGCTTTGCTTATATACAAATAAAAATCTGCAATATATATCATATGGAATTATTCTTTTCCTTTGACATCACTTCAAAATGTATATTATCTGATTCTTATCATGAGTTTAAAACAAAGGATCAATGCCTGATATTCTCCCAAATAATAAATTATCAGGATTCCTTGGAGCATGACAAAAAACAATTTTTTGTGGGGCTTAAGGTAGAAGTACAGATGGAGAACTGCATATTATGGGTCTAAATATTGTAAAATTATAAATTAAACTAACAAGCTGTTAAATAAAAGATGTCCCGGCCGGGCGCGGTGGCTCACGCCTGTAATCCCAGCACTTTGGGAGGCTGAGGTGGGCGGATCACGAGGTAAGGAGATTAAGACCATCCTGGCTAACACGATGAAACCCCGTCTCTACTAAAAATACAAAAAATTAGCCCAGCGTAGTGGCGGGCGCCTGTAGTCCCAGCTACTCGGGAGGCTGAGGCAGGAGAATGGCGTGAACCTGGGAGGCGGAGCTTGCAGTGAGCCGAGATTGCGCCACTGCACTCCAGCCTGGGTGACAGAGCCAGACTTCGTATCAAAAAAAAAAAAAAAAAAAAAAAAAAGATGTCCCATCCTCCTACTTGGACAAATGTCTCTTCATAGTGACCTGAGAAACCACGTTGGACCTTAGAATTCTTGGACTGCTTGGGTCTTCCTGCTGTAACATGTGCCACAGGAAGAAGCCACCCCTAGACCCAGCCATCTACCCTTATGCCCCAGCCCTGCTCCATCCCATAACCCAAGGGCCTTGGTGCTCATATGTATCACTCTTGAGCCCTCAAGTCTACCTTCACCCATGGCCTTTTACGAATATCTGCTTCCAGGCCCCCCGTCAGGAATAAGGACTTAAGGAAGAGCCCACAAAGACCAGGAAGTAGGTTTGGAATCGTCTGAACAGGAAGTCCCAATGTCCTGGTCCTTGGCACGGGGTCTAGAAAGGGAGACATGGATCTCGGGTGGGCATGGTCTCTTGGCCCCACAGACCTCTTTCCCCTTGAGAAAGTTCATGGCTGGAGGACAGCCAGAAGCCCAAAAGCACAAGGCCCAACACAGAGACCCCGGTGCATGGGGTAAGGGTAGTACCACCTTAATGGGAAAGAGAGGGGTTGCACTGGAAAGGGCTCTTGGAAAGCTTCTGGAGTCCTGGCAGTACTCTATGTCTTGACCTGGGTGGCAGTTAAATTTATAACAATTTATTAAGCTATACATTTATTTTATACAGTTTTCTATATGTGTGTTATATTTCCCAGTAAAGAATTAATGACATGTGTGTGTGTATATATATATATATAATTTCTGGTACTGTAGTTTATGGTATCCCCATAGACAAATCAGCTCTGAGAGGTTGTCTTATAAGCACAGACACCTTGGGCAGTTAAAATGCCTCAAGGTGTGAGTACCTAAAGAAGCAATAGACAGACAGGGCGCTGGAAACGCAGTAAATCTCCCTTTTGTTTCTCCATCCTGTGTGGGGCCAAGACACTGGGGTAACCACACATGGGTTCAGGCAGAGCAAATGAGTCATGGGCCTGTGTCCCCTTGCCTAGCCACTGCAAGTGCCTCAGAGGAAAATTCCTTTTTCCCCCCTCTTAGCCAAGACTATAAATACTGCGTTTATCAAACTGAAATTACAGGAGGCTGTTCCCATCCTGGTAGAAGTGAAAGGAGACCAACTCCCAATTATCCTGTTTGGAAAGGAGTTCTAGGAGGACTTCTCTTCCTCCTAAGGGCAGCTGCATAGGTTCATTAATTTTTTTGCTGAGCTTCTATTATGTGCCAGACACTCTTCTTATTTTTCTGCTTCCCCTTTTAAAACAACCTCTTACTTATTCTTGATAGGAAAACACTGTCCTTTTACAAAGATTCACATTACCAATTCTCAAAAAGATATTCACGTGCCCCGTGTGGTTTAAATATCAGGGTTTTTCTAAGGATATATACCCCAACTATAGCCTACAAATACATACACATACATACACACACACCATCTCAAAACAGCCTTACAGCTGCAAGATATTGAAAGAGAGTGAAAAATTGGCCAGTACTAACTCACCGAAAGCCCAGTCCATGTTTTTCCCAAAAAATCAAATTCTGGGCTTTGCATCTAAGCTATTTAAAAGCCACATTTCCAAAACACTAGTTTTTCTCCTTTTCTGGAAACAAGAAAAGCATATGGCTCCAGTGACCTTCACAAGCTGCTGGTAAGAGGTAGAGTCAGGCACATCTTGTGGCTTCAAAATGATAAAAGTGGTAACATATTAAGTTGGTATAAAGGGGGATGGTGGGGCCTCAGGGATGGGAGAGTAGAAAACAATCAATGAAATCAATGACAAGACTAAAACTGTAGGTTATAGGCAAGGAAATTTCACTCTCACCTCTACTATCCATACAAAACATCTGGCAAACGTCTACCCATCTCTCAAGACTCCACCCAAGATTGACCTTCCTTTGTGCCCTCACCAGACCCACTGCACATTTGACCCGAAATGATGTAACATTTTATTGTGCTGTATTTTTGTTTGTTCAGTGAGACTGTGGGATCCTTGAGGACAGGACTATATTTTATGTGTCTTTGAAGTTCCAACTAAAGCATAGTAAGAACCCCATAAATGCTTTCTTTGATTGCATGAATGAATGGATGATGGATTCCATTCACAAGACTATGGATTTGGCTTTTCCAGCTGCTATGATGCAACCCTTAAATGATGAAAAGCATCTCAATTTTTTTCAGATCTTACCAACCTTTCCATCTCTATCTCCTGTTTTCAGATTCAGTAAGCTGTGAGGTCCGTAATGTCAGACACTGGCAAACATCATATGTTCTTCAAGTAGAGTTATGAAAACGAAGAAACTGGTCAGAAGAGTAAAACGCCGGAATTGTCCTTTCCAACATCCAGAGCTGCATCATTCCTTGGGGCAAAATGTGGACAAGGGTGAGTACTGATAGAAAAAAACAGACAATTTGTGATTCCCCTTTTTCCAGTTTGCTCAGCCTAAATTCTCTGCAATAATAATACAAATCATGTTTTTTTGTCATACGGGCCTGCAACTAACATTTGGGGAAAATACTGTTAAGTTTAGACTGCCAGATTTTGCTGTTAGGTGAATTTTTTACATGGATGCACTGATGCCCACAGGGCATCCTATTCCATCCAGAAATCTCTGGGGAAGCAGTCTTCTGGGATGCAGATAGATTATTCCACTTAACATAATGGTGCCCGAGCAAGCCTGGAAGTTACACTCACTGAACTATTCATTCAGAAGCTGATTGCCCACGTTTGGAAATAGCCAGTTCTTGGTGCCTTGTTTCTCTGTTTGCCAGTCACCTTCAACCATTCAACTTCCATTCGGCCATTCCTCAAGAAAATCAAGTTGGCCTGGAGTAGAGTGTAGGATGAAAATAATCAATTTTTCTATCTAACCAAGGCTTCCTAAAGGTTTTATGAAAATTCAGTAGAAGAAATGATATGTAATTTTACCTATTAGTTGGCCTCTAAAAGAGGCAGGCATCATCGCATGGCATAGTGGCATTGAGGGTCACAAAGATCTGAATTTTGGTCCTTGCTTTTCTGTTTAGTAGTAGAGTTGACCTGGAGCCAGTGACCTGACCCTTTTGAATCTCTGTTTCTGTGTTTATAAAATGGTGACAGGAAGATTGTTCAGAGGATGAAATGAGAAAATGCACATAGAGTAACTCATGCTCAAAATGAAAAAAGGTAAATTCCCTTATCTATTGAGATCGATCAACTGTTTTCTGTATCTCAGAGAATCAACCATCAACTGCACACAAATAAAAAAGCTCTGGGCACCGTATCAAGCCAAGAACAGCCCAATCTCCTTTCTGGGCAAACGTTCCAAGGTAAATATAATAAGAAATGCTTTCTTTAAATAATTTGATAAGTAACAAAAGGATTTCCCTGGAAGGCATTAAAAACAAGTTTGATTGTCATATCACTGTGGGTTTTTTTAATTATATTTTAAGTTCTAGGGTACATGTGCAAAACGTGCAGGTTTGTTACATAGGTATACATGTGCCATGTGGGTTTGCTGCACCCATCAATTCATCATTTACATTAGGTATTTCTCCTAATGCTATATCTCCCCCAGGCCCCCACCCACTGACAGGCCCCGGTGTGTGAGGTTCCCCACCCTGTGTCCATGTGTTCTCATTGTTCAACTCCCACCTATGAGTGAGAACATGCAATGTTTGGTTTTCTGTCCTTGTGATAGTTTGCTTAGAATGATGGTTTCCAGCTTTATCCATGTCCCTACAAAGGACATGAACTCATCCTTTTTTATGACTGCATAGTATTCCATGGTGTATATGTGCCACATTTTCTCAATCCAGTCTATCATTGATGGATATTTGGGTTGGTTCCAAGTCTTTGCTATTGTGAATAGTGCCCCAATAAACATACGTGTGCATGTGTCCTTATAGTAGCATGATTTATAATCCTTTGGGTATATACCCAGTAATGGGATGGCTGGGTCAAATGGTATTTCTAGTTCTAGATCCTTGAGGAACCGCCACATTGTCTTCCACAATGGTTGAACCAGTTTACACTCCCACCAACAGTGTAAAACCCTTCCTATTTCTCCACATCCTCTCCAGCATCTGTTGTTTCCTGACTTTTTAATGATGGCCATTCTAACTGGTGTGAGATAGTATCTCTTTGTGGTTTTGATATGCATTTCTCTGATGACAAGTGATGAGCATTTTTTCATATGTCTGTTGGCTGCATAAATGTCTTCTTTTGAGAAGTGTCTGTTCATATCCTTTGCCCACTTTTTGATGGGGTTGTTTGTTTATTTCTTGTAAATTTGTTTAAGTTCTTTGTAGATTCTGAATATTAGCCCTTTTTCAGATGGGTAGACTGCAAAGATTTTCTCCCATTCTGTAGGCTGCCTGTTCACTCTGATGGTAGTTTCTTTTGCTGTGCAGAAGCTCTTTAGTTTAATTAGATCCCATTTGTCTATTTTGGCTTTTGTTGCCATTGCTTTTGGTATTTTAGTCATGAAGTCCTTGCCCATGTCTATGTCCTGAATGGTATTGCCTAGGTTTTCTTTTAGGATTTTTACAGTGTTAGGTCTTACATTTAAGTATTTAATGCTTCTAGTTAATTTTTATATACGGTGTAAAGAAGGGATCCAGTTTCAGCTTTCTACATATGGCTAGCCAGTTTTCCCAGCACCATTTATTAGATAGGGAACCCTTTCAATATTGCTTGTTTTTTTCAGGTTTGCCAAAGTTCAGATGGTTGTAGATGTGTGATGTTATTTCTGAGGCCTCTGTTCTGTTCCATTGATCTATATATCTGTTTTGGTACCAGTACCATGCTGTTTTGGTTACTCTAGCTTGTAGTATAGTTTGAAGTCAGGTAGCGGGATGCCTCCAGCTTTGTTCTTTTAAGTAGTTTTTTCCAATTACGTAAAGAAAGTCAGGTAGCTTGATGGCGATGACACTGAATCTATAAATTACCTTGGAAAGTATGGACGTTTTCATAATATTGATTCTTCCTATCCATGAACATGGAATGTTCTTCCATTTGTTTGTGTCCTCTTTTATTTCATTGAGCAGTGGTTTGTAGTTCTCCTTGAAGAGTTCCTTCACGTCCCTTGTAAGTTGGATTCCCAGGTATTTTATTCTTTTTGTAGTAATTGTGAATGGGAGTTCACTAATGATTTGGCTCTCTGTTTGTCTATTATTGGTGTATAGGAATGCTTGTGATTTTTGCACATTGATTTTGTATCCTGAAACTTTGCTGAAGTTGCTTATTAGCTTAAGGAGATTTTGGGCTGAGACAATGGGGTTTTCTAAATATACAATCATGTCATCTGCAAGCAGGGACAATTTGACTTCCTCCTTTCCTAATTGAATACCCTTTATTTCTTTCTCTTACCTGATTTCCCTAGCCAGAACTTCCAACACTATGTTGAATAGGAGTGGTGAGAGAGGGCATCCCTGTCTTGTGCCGGTTTTCAAAGGGAATGCTTCCAGCTTTTGTCCATTCAGTATGATATTGGCTGTGGGTTTGTCATAAATAGCTCTTATTATTTTGAGATACGTTCCACCAATACCTATTTTATTGAGAGTTTTTAGCATGAAGCGCTGTTGAATTTTATCGAAGGCCTTTTCTGCATCTATTGAGATGATCATGTGGTTTTTGTCATTGGTTCTGTTTATGTGATGGATTACATTTACAGATTTGTGTATGTTGAACCAGCCTTGCATCCCAGGGATGTAGCCAATGTGATCGTGGTGGATAAGCTTTTTGATGTGCTGCTGGATTCGGTTTGCCAGTATTTTATTGAGGATTTTTGCATCAATGTTCATCAGGGATATGGCCTAAAATTATCTTTTTTTGTTGTGTCTCTACCAGGCTTTGGTATCAGGATGATTCTAGCCTCATAAAATGAGTTAGGGAGGATTCCCCTTTTTTCTATTGATTGAAATAGTTTCAGAAGGAATGGTACCAGCTCCTCTTTGTACCTCTGGTAGAATTCAGCTGTGAATCTGTCTGGTCCTGGACTTTTTTTGGTTGGTAGGCTATTAATTATTGCCTCAATTTCAGAGCCTGTTATTGGTCAATCCAGAGATTCAATTTCTTCCTGGTTTAGTCTTGAGAGAGTGTATGTGTCCAGGAATTTATCCATTTCTTCTAGATTTTCTAGTTTATTTGCATAGAGGTGTTTATAGTATTCTCTGATGGTAGTTTGCATTTCTGTGGGATCAGTGGTGATATCCCCTTTATCATTTTTTATTGCATCTATTTGATTCTTCTCTCTTTTCTTTTTTATTGGTCTTGCTAGCAGTCTATCTATTTTGTTGATCTTTTTAAAAAAACAGCTCCTGGATTCATTGATTTTTTGAAGGGTTTTTTGTGTCTCTCTCTCCTTCAGTTCTGCTCTGATCTTTGTTATTTCTTGCCTTCTGCTAGCTGTTGAATTTGTTTGCTCTTGCTTCTCTAGTTCTTTTAATTGTGATGTTAGAGTGTCGATTTTAGATCTTTCC
Organism: Homo sapiens; assembly: GCF_000001405.40. Taxonomy (NCBI): domain Eukaryota; kingdom Metazoa; phylum Chordata; class Mammalia; order Primates; family Hominidae; genus Homo; species Homo sapiens. The sequence continues at coordinate 11,301,912 of NC_000006.12, read as the reverse complement.
TGCTTTCTCTTGTATGCATTTAGTGCTATAAATTTCCCTCTACACACTGCTCTAAATGTATCCCAGAGATTCTGGTGTGTTGCATCTTTTTTCTCATTGGTTTCAAAGAACATCTTTATTTCTGCCTTCATTTCGTTACTTACCCAGTAGTCATTCAGGAGCATGTTGTTCAGTTTCCATGTAGTTGTGTGGTTTTGAGTGGGTTTATTAATCCTGAGTTCTAATTTGATTGCACTGTAGTCAGGGAGAGTTTGTTGTGGTTTCTGTTCTTTTACATTTGCTGAGGAGTGCTTTACTTCCAACTAAGTGGTCAATTTTAGAATAAGTGCAATGTGGTGCTGAGAAGAATGTATATTCTGTTGATTTGGGGTGGAGAGTTCTGTAGATGTCTATTAGGTCTACTTGGTGCAGAGCTGAGTTCAAGCCCTCGATATCCTTGTTAACCTTCTGTCTCATTGATCTGTCTAATACTGACAGTGGGGTTTTAAAGTCTCCCATTATTATTGTGTGGGAGTCTAAGTCTCTTTGTAGATCTCTAAGGACTTGCTTTATGAATCTGGTTGCTCCTGTATTGGGTGCATATATATTTAGGATAGTTAGCTCTTCTTGGTGAATTGATCCCCTTACCATTATGTGGTGGCCTTCTTTGTCTCTTTTGATCTTTGTTGGTTTAAAGTCTGTTTTATCAGAGACTAGGATTGTAACCCCTGCTTTTTTTTGCTTTCCATTTGTTTGGTAGATCTTCCTCCATCCCTTTATTTTGAGCCTATGTGCGTCTTTGCACATGAAATGGGTCTCCTGAATACAGCACACCCATGGGTCTTGACTCTTTATCCAATTTGCCAGTCCGTGACTTTTAACTGGGGCATTTAGCCCATTTTCACTTAAGATTAATATTGTTATGTGTGAATTTGATCCTGTCATTTTGATGTTAGCTCATTATTTTGCCTGTTAATTGATGCAGTTTCTTCATAGCATCAATGGTCTTTACAATTTGGCATGTTTTTGCAGTGGCTAGTACCAGTTATTCCTTTCCATGCTTAGTGCTTCCTTCAGGAGCTCTTCTTATAAGGCAGGCCTGGTAGTGACAAAATCTCTCAGCATTTGCTTGTCTATAAAGGATTTTATTTCTCCTTCACTTATGAAGCTTAGTTTGGCTGGATATGAGATTCTGGGTTGAAAATTCTTTTCTTTAAGAATGTTGAATATTGGCCCCCACTCTCTTCTGGCTTGTAGGGTTTCTGCCAACAGATCCGCTGTTAGTCTGATGGGCTTCCCTTTGTGGGTAACCCGACCTTTCTCTCTGGCTGCCCTTAACATTTTTTCTTTCATTTCAACCTTGGTGAATCTGACAATTATGTGTCTTGGGGTTACTCTTCTTGAGGAGTATCTTTGTGGTGTTCTCTGTATTTCCTGAATTTGAATGTTGGCCTGCCTTGCTAGGTTGAGGAAGTTTTCCAGGATAATATCCTGAAGAGTGTTTTCCAACTTGATTCCATTCTTCCCGTCACTTTCAGGTACACCAATCAAACGTAGATTTGGTCTTTTCTTATAGTCTTATATTTCCTGGAGGCTTTGTTCATTTCCTTTTACTCTTTTTTTCTCTAAACTTCTCTTCTTGCTTTATTTCATTAATTTGATCTTCAATCACTGATATCCTTTCTTCCACTTGATCGAATAGGCTATTGAATCTTGTGCATGAGTCATGAAGTTCTCATGCCGTGGTTTTCAGCTCCATCAGGTCATTTAAGGTCTTCTCTACACTGTTTATTCTAGTTAGCCATTCATCTAATCTTTTTTCAAGGTTTTTAGCTTCCTTGCAATGGGTTAGAACATGCTCCTTTAGCTCAGAGAAGTTTGTTATCACAGACCTTCTGAAGCCAACTTCTGTCAACTCATCAAACTCATTCTCTGTCCCGTTTTGTTCCTTTGCTGGTGAGGGGCTGCAATCCTTTGGAGGAGAAGAGGCACTCTGTTTTTTTGGAATTTTCAGCTTTTCTGCTCTGGTTTCTCCCCATCTTTGTGGTTTTATCTACCTTTGGACTTTGACATTGGTGACCTACAGATGGAGTTTCGGTGTGGATGTCCTTTTTGTTGATGTTGATGCTATTCCTTTCCGTTTGTTAGTTTTCCTTCTTACAGACCCCTCAGCTTCAGGTCTGTTGGAGTTTGCTGGAGGTCTAATCCAGACCCTGTTTGCCTGGGTATCACCAGCGGAGGCTGCAGAACAGCAAATATTGCTGCCTGATCCTTCCTCTGGAAGCTTCGTCCCAGGGGGGCACTCACCTGTTTGAGGTGTCTGTTGGCCCCTACTGGGAAGTGTTTCCCAGTCAGGCTACACAGGGGTCAAGGACCCACTTGAGGAGGCAGTCTGTCCGTTCTTGGAGCTCAAATGCCATGCTGAGAGAACCGCTGCTCTCTTCAGAGTTGTCAGACAGGGACGTTTAAGTCTGCAGAAGCTGTCTGCTGCCTTTTGTTCTCCTATGCCCTGACCCCAGAGGTGGAATCTGTAGAAGTAGTAGGCCTTACTGAGCTGTGGTGGGCTCTGCCCAGTTTGTACTTCCTGGCCTCTTTGTTTTCACTGTGACACTTTGTTTACTCAAGCCTCAGCAATGGCAGATGCCCCTCCCCCCCTCAAGCTGCAGCGTTGCAGGTCGATCTCAGACTGCAGCGCTAGCAGTGAGCAAGGCTCTGTGGGCGTGGGACCCACTGAGCCGGCACAGGAGGGTATCTTCTTGTCTGCTGGTTGCTAAGACTGTGGGAAAAGCACAGTATTTGGTCAGGAGTGTACTGTTTCTCCAGGTACAGTCTGTCATGGCTTCCCTTGGCTAGGAAAGGGAAATACCCCAACCCCTTGCATTTCCCTGATGAGGCAATGCCCCACCCTGCTTCAGCTCACCCTCCATGGGCTGCATCCACTGTCCAACCGGTCCCAGTGAGATGAATCAGGTGCCTCAGTTGGAAATGCAGAAATCACCCATCTTCTGCATCAATCTTGCTGGGAGCTGCAGACTGGAGCTGTTCCTATTCGTCCATCTTGGACAATAGCCCGCTTACTGTGATGTTTTAAGGTCAAGGTAATGACCTCTTAACAATCCTCGCTAGTACTAGATTCTATGGCAAAAGTCTGTCACAGAACTGGATACTTCAGAGGCTTCCACCAAACCAAATTAGTAATCCAAACTGGAACAAACTATATTTATTTGTGAATTCTCAATCCATTCAATATAAATACCAATTTCTCTATGAATAGTGAAACAAAAAATGTCTCTCTTCTCATTTTTTATACCTACTCAGCCAACATTACTAAACTGAGACAAAAACAGAGAGATACAGGGAGATAAAACATTCCCTGAAGCAAGTCAGTATTTCATTCCAGCTGTAACTCTGCAATTAACATTAGTTCTATGGTATTTCCAATACATGCTGATTCTCAACTTTTGGAATTCTAAACCTAAAAACCATATAATTTCACCACCTCAATTTTTTAATTTGCTTTAGAATTATCTATGTTGAGTCAAAAGGGCCTTTGAGGTCTTTAATTTCATGACTTCTGGGTGATTTTTTCCCCCATTATTAAACTTTATTTTAACTTTTCATACACACAGATACACACACTCACACACACACATCACTTCACACTACGCATACATATATTCCTACTGCTCTTTTTCAGGTAGGATGCTGGTTAAAAATATGGACTGGGGCTGGGTGCAGTGGCTCATGCCTGTAATCCCAGCACTTTGGGAGGTCAAGGCGGGCAGATAAGTTGAGGTCAGGAGTTCGAGAGCAGCCTGACCAACAGAGTGAAACCCCATCTCTACTAAAAATAGAAAAATTAGCTGGGTGTAGTGGTGCGCACCTATAGTAACAGCTATTCAGAAGGCTGAGGCATGAGAATTGCTTGAACCCCAGAGGCAGAGGTTGCAGTGAGCTGTGATTGCACCACTGCACTCCAACCTAGGCGACAAAGCGAGACTCTGTCTCCAAAAAAAAAAAAAGAAAAGAAAAAAAAATACGGACTAGAAGCCATACTGCCTAGTTTGAATCCCAGTCTTGCCTCTATTGAGTAATAGGGCCTTGAACAAGTTATTAACCCTCTTTGTGCCTCAGTTTCTTCATCTACAATATGAGAATGAGAATAGTACCGACCTCAAAGGGTTTGTGATGATTAAACATGCATGTTGCTTAGAATTGTGTTTGGCACGTACTAAGCCCTCAAAAGAAGCTTCCTGAGTTTTATAGCACATAAAAAGTCAAGTCAGTGCAGCTAAAAGAAATCATTGAAGGGAGAAGATGAGAGACACAGAGCATAATGAAAGGCCTGGTGGGAGAATGAGCCTTGGGAATCTGGATGGGGCTAGACTTGGTCACTCACCTGAACTTCCTTAAGCTGTGATTTTTCTGGTTCCAGAGGTGACAATGAAGACACCATGAGTGAAGGCATGGACAGAAAAATTCACTGGGGAAGCCTGTGCTAAACTCATAAATACTCTTAAAAGTAAACCCCTTACAAGAAGCCTCAGCAAATAAAAGCAAGCCCTGAGGGAACTGCACTAATATCAGTGTGAGGAGGAAGGCGGAGAGGTCTCCTCACACCTGGAGAGCTGTCCCTGGCTGCAGAGAGGCTGGCACCCTGCAGCATTCTTTTCCCAGGATGGTTCTGTTTTATTTCATTTTCAAAGAGCTGGTAGTTAAACATTTACCATTGCTCCACTGAAGACAATAAAGAATAAAGGGGCTGGCTCAGAAAAAAATGAAAACCAAAAAAAAAAAAAAACAAAACAAATTAAACTGCAAAGCTTTTTCACCTTTGCATTAGGGCAGGAAGCCTGCAGCCAGGCATGGCATGTTATAGTTTATCTAAAGAAAAAAAGCCAAATCGGCTGGGCGTGGTGGCTCACGCCTATAATACCAGCACTTTGGGAGGCCGAGGTGGGTGGACCGCCTGAGGTCAGGAGTTCAAGACTAGCCTGGGCAAGATGGCGAAACCATGTCTCTACTAAAAATACAAAAATTAGCCGGGCATGGTGATGTGCACCTGTAATCCCAGCTACTCCGGAGGCTGAGGCAGGAGAATTGCTTGAACCCAGGAGGTGAAGGTTGCAGTGAGCTCAGATCACGCTACTGCACTCCAGCATGGGTGATAGAGCAAGACTTTGTCTCAAAAAAGAGAAAGAAAGAAAAGAAAGGAAGGAAGGAAGGAAGGAAGGAAGGAAGGAAGGAAGGAAGGGAAAGGAAAGGAAAGGAAAGGAAAGGAAGGAAGGAAAGGAAGGAAGGAAGGAAGAAAGAAAGGAAGGAAGGAAATTTTGCCATTCTTTCCCACTAAATGCAAGTTCACTGCAGTTCCAAGGTACTTATCCACACCGTGTATTTACATCTGCCTCAGGTTTGTAGTAAATGCTGTAAACAGAGAGATGTGATGAAGAGAGGTAATGCATATTCTTTATCACCTCTCTAAAAACATGATTATCCTGACCTATTGTAGGGAATATGAAAACACTATGTAGTGAGAATTACCATCCTGCTTCATTATACTTAAAAGAGAATTTAACCTGTTCAGATTTCTGAGTTGTTCCTTAAGTATAAAAGTGAAAGAATCAGGATCAAAACGAAGAACCTCTAAATCCGCCTATTGTATCTGCTTGGGCTGCCATGACAAGGTATCACAGAGTGGGGGCTTAAACAACAGAAATTTATTCTCTCACAGTTCTGGAGGCTGGAAGTCCAAGATAAGGTGTCTGCAGGGTTGATTTCTCCTGAAGCCTCTCTCCTTGACTTGTAGACCTTCATCTTCTCCCTGTGTGGTCTTCCCTCTGTGGGTGGCTGTGTCCTCATCTCCTCTTCTTATAAGGACTCCTGTCATATTGGATTAGGGCCCACCCATGTGACCTCATTTTAACTTAATTACTTCTGTGAAGACCCTATCTCTAAACACAGTCACATTTGGAGTTCCTTGGTGTTAAAGTTTCAACATGAATTTGGGGTGGGGGTCACAATTCAGTCCATCACACACCTAACGTGGGTGTAATGTGTCTACAGGAACAGTTTGATTGAGCAACACCACAGGTTGCATTCCCAGAGAAGCAAATTTTGAGATGGAGATTGGCATGCTGGAAGTTTGTGGAGAGTGCTCCTGGGAAACTGTCAAGGCAAGAGAGGAAGCAGGATTAGGCAGAGGAGGAAGCTGAAATCAGGATAAAGACCCCAGCAAGTCACAGAGGCCCTCCAAAGCTGGGATGTCCTTCCATGTTGTCTGAACTGAGGCAAGGTAGTTGGAAGTTTATGCCCCTTCCTAGACAGTCACTGTAAACAGGCCACCCGAGGGAGGAGGTGTGCTGTGCCTCAGCTGGGGACAATCTCAAGAGGGGACTCTGAAGCAAGCTGCTAGGTGCCAACCCTTCCATAGCTGACAGAATGATTGACTAAGCCTGAAGTGGGGTGTCAGGTCATGGACCCCAGTGTCCACTACAAATCTGAAATTTACTTTCCTCAAGTGAGTGGAAGGACTTACCATTATCTTCTTAAGAAATATCTCGCACCCTACAGAATGGGAGAAAATATTTGCAAACCATCCATCTGATAATGGGTTAACAGTCAGAAAAATAAAACGCACTCATACAATAATAACAATAAAACATAATCTGGCTAAATAAATGGGCAGAGAACCTGAAAAGACATTTGTCAAAAGAAGACATACAAATGGCCAAGAGGTACATACAAAGGTGTGCAATATCACTAATTGTATTAGTCTGTTCTCACACTGCTAATAAAGACCTACCCAAGACTGGGTAATTTATATAGAAAAAGAGGTTTAATGGACTCACCATTCCACATGGCCGGGGAGGCCTCACAGTCAATGCAGAAGGCAAAGGAGGAGCAAAGGCACGTCTTTCATGGCAGCAGGCAAGAGAGCTTGTGTAGTGGAACTGCCCTTTACAAAACCATCAGATCTTGTGAGACTTACTCACTGCCATAAGAACAGCACGGGAAAGACCCGTCCCCATGATTCAATTACCTCCCACCAGATTCCTCTCACAACATGTGGGAATTATGGGAGATACAATTCAAGATGAGGTTTGGGTGGGGACACAGCCAAACCGTATCACTAATCATCAGGGATATACAGATCAAAACCATAATGAGATATCATCTTACCCCAGTTGGCTATCATCAAAAACACTAATAAGTGTTGTGAGGATATGGGAAAAGGGAACCCACGTATACTGTTGGTAGGAATGTAAACTGATATATTAGTTCGTTCTTACATTGCTATAAAGAACTACCTAAGACTGGGTAATTTATAAAGAAAAGAGGTTTGATGGGCTCACAGTTCTGCAGGCGGTACAGGAAACATGGCTGCAGAGGCCTCAGGAAACTTAGAATCATGGCAGAAGACAAAAGGGAAGCCAGCACATCCTATATGGCTGGAACAGGAGAGGGAGAGAGCAAAGGGGGAAGTGCTACACACTCTCAAACAACCAGATCTCATGAGAACTTACTCACTATCACGAGAACAGCAAAAGGGAAATCCACCCCCATGATCCAACATTTCCCACCAGACCCCTCCCCCAACACTGAAGATCACAATTCAACATGAGATTTGGGTAGAGACATAGAGCCAAACCATATTAGCTGGTATAGTCGTTATGGAACACAGCATGCAGGTTCCTCAAAATTTAAAAATACAATTATCATATGTAGCAGTAACTCCACTTCTGGGTATATATCCAAAGGAAATGAAATCAGTACCTCAAAGAGTTCTATGCACCTCCATGTTCATTACAACATTATTCACAATAGCCAGGATATAGAATCAACCTAAGTGTTGATTCTACTAATACATGAGCAGATAAAGAAAATGTGATACACACACACACATACACACATACACACACACACACACTTACACAATGGAATTCTATTCAGCCTTGAAGAAGAAGGAAGTCCTGTCATTTGTGACAATGTGGATGAACCTGGAGGACATTATGCTGAGTGAAATAAGCCAGGCACAGAAAGACAAATACTACATGATCTCACTTTATATATGGCATCTAAAAAAGACAGACTCATAGAAGCAGAAAGTAGAACTGTGCTTACCAGGGGTTGGGGGACTGGGAGGATTGGAAAGATGTTGGTCAAAGAGTACACATTTTCAGTTACAAGATGAACAAGTTTTGGGAATCTAATAAATAACATGGTGACATGGTTAAAAATACTGTATTTAATATATACTTGAAACTTGCTACCACAGTAGATCTTAAATATTCTCAACACGCACACACACACACATAGACGGTCATGGTGTGAGGTGACAGATATTTCAATTAGCTTGGTTGTGGTAATTATTTCACAATGTATATGTATATCAAAGCATCATGTTGTACACTGTAACTATATACAATTTTTATTTGTCAAATATGCTTCGATAAAGCTGAGAGGGGGGGATAGAAAACAAAGAAATTTCTCACAATGTCTCTCAGTAGATCTAAGGGTAACATATTAAAAACTCGAAAATATTTGGCCCAATCCTGGGCTGCTAACATGGGTTAGTGGAAAAGTGCACTGTGGCGCCAGAAAGGTCTGGGTTCAAATCTCTATCTTGCTGTTTGCTAATATTTCTTAACCTCTCTGAACCTCCAATTTCTCCTGTGCAAAATGAATATAATAATACCCATCTTATTGGACTGTTGCAAGATTTAAACAAAAAAAAAAACATAGACTTAGATTGTCTAGCAACAATGCTTGACACAAAGAAGGCATTTAAAAAGCATTTGTTCCCTTCCCCTTTTTACAGCAAATAGTTCATTGGCAGTGAATGATTACAAACTACAAGTGTTTCTCAACTTGGAGTGGTTTCTCAAGTATGTGACTGGAACCACCTGTAGAGATTGTTAAACTACAGATCCCTGGACCCCACCCCATTCTTAATGAATCTAGTTCATGGGTTCTAGGGTGGAGCCCAGGAATGTATAATTTTAGCAAGTTCCATGGATGTTTCTGATACCCAGAAAATCATGAAGCCCTCTGCTTGAGGCTGAGCTCAGTAAGAATATTCTTTGTATTAGAACCCAGGGAGGTCTGTGCTTAGAGGATGCCTGAGGACATTTGCACCTCCCTCCTTGTCATGAGTTCTGTGGATGTACATCTGCACATCACATCACAGAGACCTCTCTCCATTGCATAAATTCTGTGTATTCCAAAACTAAAACATGCATAAATCACATCAGTTATAGACTCAAACCAATTCTCCTTTTTGAGATGTCATTTTATTGAGTTATAAATCACCACTAAAAGGCAATTTTGTGCAGACAGAAATTTTACTGGAGGATGCAGATCCCCTGAGCTTGTCTGGAAAATGAGAAGCCTATTCAAAGACGAAGTGTCCTGCTGGTGGAAGAGTCATTGGGCCTGCAAAGAGGCATGTCTGGATGGAGGTTTAACTTTTTCATTTCAACCAAACAAAATGGAGCCCCTCACCCAGATGGGATTGCTGAAGGCTTTCTGGGTTTGATTATGGGTCACAAAGTCCAGCTGCATTGCAGAAATTACACTGTCAAGAAGACGCTGACCAAGGTCCAGAAAATAAACAGGAGCTGAGATGCAGAAAGTGACCTCGAAGCTTAAACAGGCTTTCCCATGCCTACCAGACGCTTTTCTTGATTTAACACCGGGTCATGTGGTTTTTCAGTGTCTTCTGTGGCTTTCTTTTCCCATAGATGGGCCTCACTTATTCTAAAATATAAAGCTTTGGGGGTTTCTTGAAAATGGCACTTTCACTCAGTAAAAATAAGTCCAGATGAAAACCTTATCTGTGGGAATCCATTCTGAAGAAGGATTAAAGTAAGTCTATTTTCCCCAAATGATCAATAACCACCCAGACCTAATCACTATCTCTGATTACATGATGAAAAAGATTCTGGAAGCAGCACAGCAAAAATATGACAATGACAGAGAACTCAAAGGTGACCCTGTACTCACCATCTCCATGCAGACATCACAAGTGCAGGGATGAGTAAGCCCTTTAGTTGGAGATCTATGTTGCTAATAACAAGACATTCTGAGTTTTCTTCTTCTTAGTGAGAGAGCCTTCCATGACCATTTTCCCATAGTTTGCCTTTATTCGTTTCTAAGAAACTATTTTTCCAGTTTTGACCATGGTGCTGTAACCCACAGAGGCACCGTTACACTGAAACTATGCAACCCTATCTGTTAAGTATTATCCAACGCCCACTTGGGTTTTCACTGGCTCATTTAGAGAAGCACCTTTGAGTACAATATCCAATTAAACAGTAGGTTTACATGGAGTGCTTCCTGCTCGTGTTAAAAATCTCATTCTGGCCGGGCGCGGTGGCTCACGCCTGTAATCCCAGCACTTTGGGAGCCCGAGGCAGGTTGATCACGAGGTCAGGAGATCAAGACCATCCTGGCTACTACGGTGAAACCCCGTCTCTACTAAAAATACAAAAAATTAGCTGGGCTTGGTGGCAGGTGCCTGTAGTCCCAGCTACTGGGGAGGCTGAGGCAGGAGAATGGCGTGAACCCGGGAGGCGGAGCTTGCAGTGAGCAGAGATTGTGCCACTGCACTCCAGCCTGGGCGACAGAGCGAGACTCCGTCTCAAAAAAAAAAAAAAAAAAAAAAAAACCTCATTCTATTTCTGCCCTGTGCTCTGCCATTCCCTAGATACACAGAATTTTGGACCCAGTAGAGCACCTTCACGAGGATAGTGCTGCAGTGAACCGCAGTAGCAAGGAAATCGTACAAGCTCAGTGGCTCAGCACAACACACTGTTCTCACTCGTGGTCCAGTCAGGGACTCTCCTGGACAGCTGTCCTCGGGGATCTGGGTCTCTTCCATCATGGGCTCCAGTATCTCGGGGCCTTTCACTTCCAGCATGTGAAACACTCCGTCTTCTTCAAGAGGGAGTGTGTGGGACATGTTAGGGAGCAGGCTAGAAAGCAGAGTACATCACTTCCACTGGCACTCTACCGTCTAGCACTCAATCGCATCATCAACCTAAATCCGAAGAAAGCAGGGAGATGTAGAGATGAGCACAGCTGCTGACAGTGCCTGCCTCGGAGAGATGTTAGCTGCCCCTTTCTTTCAATCCCTTTTTAAGGTTTTGCAGTTGAGGCGACTGAGACTCGGAAGACATGTTACCCACAGCTAGTCAGTGACAGCCCAGCGCAGTGTTCACCCAGGGGCCTCTTGCCCACCCTTATTAATTCCAATTAATGGATAAAAGGGCTCATTTGGTCTCGAGGTACAGCTGGAGCTTTGTTTCCTGCTCTTCTACGCAGGACTCCACGGTGAGGAGGAGGACGACCACTCTGCTGCAAAACCCGCAGTTCCAGGGCAATGCCTCTTGGTCTGGGAGCTGCACAGATGAATACCTCAAGGAGCAAGTGCCAGTAGCCAACCGTAATTATGGGAAATGCTTCTTGGCTCCTAAGGGATATAAAATTACTTTGGGGAAAGTCAAGGAAAATAGAAACAGAATACCCCATAATGCTTTATTTGGAGGCCAGAAGTCACATACTAAGGCTTGTGTTTTGTGTTTGATTCTGTCAAGAGAGCTTAAAAGGTGGAGACAGCCTTTGGGGGGAATGAAGGTCTGGATGGTATCAGCCTGGCTTGCAAGCGTCGCTGTGGCTCATGAAAACATATGTCTTGAAAGGTTGTCCTGCTCATAGTTCCGAGCAAATGTGAGAAACAACAGAGGCTTCCAACAAATACCTGCTAAAGAATGAGGAAATGGACACAGGCAAATAGGCAAATGGAGTCTCCTTAACGGAATCGTAAGGCTGTCTGGAGGTAATACGAGTGGAAAGAACTCCTGTGTGAAAATCTGCATGCATCTTTGCCCCCGTGGAACCGTCTACACAAGTGCTAATGGAACAGTTAGTTACATACCTATTTTTTTAAACTCTGACTTTACCATTACAGAGGTTATATATCTATAGGATTTTTTGCCTGAATTTTTAGATTTTCACCTGGAGATCTGGTATGGAATAATTAAATGCTGCATATTGTTTCTCTTATTCTTAAGGATCTTGGAGAAATTATTTAACAGTCTGAGATCTCCTTCTCTCCTTCCCTACCCTCCCCACCCCTGACCTATAACAGCTAGGGAGAGAAAATAAATACAAATAATATCTGCTGGCCAGGCACAGTGGCTCACGCCTGTAATCCCAGCACTTTGGGAAGCTGAGGCAGGCAGATCATGAGGTCAGGAGATCAAGACCATCCTGTGTAACATGGTGAAACCTCGTCTCTACTAAAAATACAAAAATTAGCCAGGCGTGGTGGCAGGTGCCTGTAGTCCCAGCTACTCGGGAGGCTGAGGCAGGAGAATGGCGTGAACCCGGGAGGTGGGGGTTGAGGTGAGCCAAGATCGCGCCACTGCATTCCAGCCTGGGCGAAATAGCGAGACTCCATCTCAAAAATAAATAAATAAAATAAAATAAAATATCTGCCATTTGGCTGCAAAGTATGGTGCTGATTTAACCTGAATATTACCACATAAAATCAAATAACAATAATAATAGAAAATAGGTTTATAGCAGTACCAGAATTATATTACTTAATTTAGCTGCCTTTTCCCAAAATATAATCACACTTCCTAGATTTTACAGGTCAGATATAAAAGAGTACAGTGGAAGAATTCAATCACATGTGCCTTCATTGTTCACTTTTTCATCTCAAGCTCTTCTTTTCATGCTAGCTGTTCCAGCTCTTCAAAAAATGTTTGTTCTTGTGAGTCAGAAATATTGTATCCATTTTATTAACAGCCTGTTTGAAGCCAATAAGATGAATGCGTTTGCTGAGCATAGGTTAGTTTATGGCAAAGTCTGGACTCAAATCAATGGCAGGAGAGGAGAGGCAAGCTAGTTAGATACCTCCAAAGGACTTGGACATAAGGAAGATTTCAGAGTTAAATTAGCAAAATGCATACATTCAATACATACACACTAGTAAAACAAAATGGCTGCAATTAGTCAATTATGGAAGTAAACCAAGAAAACATCCATCTGTCTGTAAAATAGAAGAGTGTGGGAACTTCTTAAACTTCAGTCCTGCTGATCTGGGGTATAGTAATGAGGAAGATGAATATATGGTTGTAAGTCAGTGAGCAGAATGCCAAGTGGCTGCATTGTGCCTGATTGGATGAAATGTTATCCATGTTATCTGATTGGATGAAAGGTATGTGAACAGAAGGGGCTGGTCAGCCAAAGAAGCAAGAAAGAAGGAGAATCAGAGGGTCTGAAAGCCCCTCTAGATGGCAAAGCCCTTGGACATGGAAGCATCTAAGAAAAACATAGTCTTGGCAGTGTTGACCAAAAGTATGGTTCCCTTTATGAGACGTTCCCTGTTGTGAGCAAGAGTGCCTCAAGCCATTGACAGCAGCATTCTAAGATCCATTAAGAGCACTTGTTCTGATCCTGTGGACACCAAGCAACCTTGTGATAATTTGGCTCCTCACATAGTGAGACTATTGGCAGCTCTGCCTCAACACATTCTGGTCTACTTGTCAGTTGTATAGACGAATTTAATTATATCTGACGTGGTGTGCTGACTCCACCCTAAGCACGCCAACAAAATCACTTTTATGAGCCTAACAGACCTTAGACCAGGGTGTACTCTTTAAGGTAAACACCACCCTCGGCATGCAGCTGGACAGGCAGTAATGTTGCCCAGCAACACCCCAGGCCACACGCCATACGCCACTTGAACTGCAGCTGAACCAGCCTGCGTAATTTTGACTGAGCCACATATAAAGTCAAGATCAGGATGTTCTAACAACATGACCACCTCTAGTGATCTGACCAAACAATTGCCATATCACAAGCCAGGAGCAGTCTGCAGAGTGGAGGAATGGAAAGAACCTAAACCATTTTAACAGGCCATGTGCCAATTTTCAACTGTACCCGGGACCCCACCATAGACAGCTTCATCAAAGATATCAATGCTGTTGACAGAGTAATGTTTTCCAGGTTTTATCCCACCCTACTCAGTTGCAGTAATTGTTAGGTGATAAAGACAGTGACAGCTCATTACAAAATTCAACTTCCAGAAGCTGGAAGGTTAAGTGACACCTCTTACCTGCTGGGTGATGGGTTAGCGTCTTAACCTTATCCTTTTGCTACTCTCTGCCCCAAACTCCAACCCCATCTGGAAGCTTGTGCACTTGAGGCAGTAGATTTCACATGAAACCAAGTCAGAAGGCTTTACAACAGACCATTAAGTAGGAATGTGTAGGAAAAGTACGTAGAGGAGAATGGATGAAGGGGATGAAGAATATTGCCTAAAAACTCAAGACCGTTATCTGTAGCCCTTATAACACTTTTTATTTATGTGTTCTGTGTGTGTGTGTGTGTGTGTGTGTGGATTTGTGCACTACTGTACCTTCATACCAGCTTGTCACACACGTATAAACCTATGTCCACAGACATTAACTACTTGGTTTTTGTTTTGTTTTGTTTTGAGATGGAGTCTCGCTCTGCCACCCAGACTGGCATACAGTGACACCATTTCAGCTAACTCCAACCTCCACCTACCAGGTTCAAGCAATTCTCCTGCCTCAGCCTCCTGAGCGTCTGGGATTACAGGCACCTGCCACCATGCCTGGCTGATTTTTGTATTTTTAGTAGAGATGGGGTTTTGCCATGTTGGCCAGGCTGGTCTCGAACTCCTGATATCAAGTGGATCCGCCTGCCTGGGCCTCCCAAAGTGCTGAGACTAAAAGCGTGAGCCACCGCGCCCAGCCTACTTGGCTTCTTTAAACAGCTTTATTGAGGCATAACTGACATACGATAAACTACACATACTGAAAATATAAATTATTTTAATCTGTAATTACACCTTTATTTTTTAAAAAATTGTGTGAGCCCAACCAGATAACCATGAAAAGTTCCATATTAATGATGATTGTACTGAGTAGAGAAGCCTCCAATTAAAGTAAATTTTGATAACATTGACATATATATATGCACTGGTGGAACCATCGCCAAAACCAAGATAACAAACACATCCATCACCTCCAGAAGTTTTCTCATGCCCCTTTGTAATCCCACCTCTGCTGCTTCCTACCCCCAGCCCCATTCCTAGGCAACCGTTAATCTGCTTTCTGTCACTATACATCAGTTTGGATATTCCAGAAAATTATATAAATGATACATATCTTATATACCCTTTTTCTGGCTTCTTATACTCAGAATAGTTACTTTGATTTGTATCTATGTTGTAATATGTATCAATAGTTCATTTATTTTCATTATGGCTGAGTGTTATTCTTCATACGGATGGACCACAGTGTGTTTATCCATTCACCTTTGATAGATATTTGGTTTGTTCCCAGTTGGGGGCAATTAGAAATAAAATTCTAAAAACATTTATGTAAAAGGGTGTGCATGGCATAGGCTTTCTTTTCTCTTGGATAAAAATCTAGGAATCAATGACTAGATTATATGATCAGTGTATTCCTAACTTCCTAAGAAACTGCCTAACTATGTTCCCATCACCAGTGTTTGAGAGTTCCAGTTCCTCCTCACCCTTGCCAACACATTTTATGGTCAGATTTTCCTTCTAATTCTTGCTATTCTAATAGGTATGTAGTGGTACCTTCTAGTGGCTTTAATTTGCATTTCTCTAATGACTAATGATGTTGAGCATCTTTTCATATGCTTATTTGTCATCTGTGTGTGTCCTCATTAATAAAATGTCTGGTCAAATATTTTGTCCATTTTCTATTTGGTTTGTTTTCTTATTATTCAGTAATGAGAGTTTCTTATCTATTCTGGCTACAATTACTTTATCAGATTTATATATTGTAAACATTTTCCGCCAGTGTCTGGCTTGTCTTCTTAGTCTAATAACAATGTCTTTAGAAGAGCAGGTGTTTTTAATTTTTATGAAGTCCTATTTATTAATTTTTTCTTTTATGGATTGTGCTTTTGGTGTGGTAACTAAGAAATCCTTGCCTACCCAAAGTCACAAACATTTTCTCTTATATTTTTATAGTTTTAGGTTTTATATTTATTTCTGATCCACTTTGAATTAATATTCATATAATGAAAGATATGAACTGAAGTGCACTATTTTGAATACTGATATCCAAGTGTACTAGCACCATTTGTTGAAAGAACTATGTTTCTCCACTAAAGTTTCTTTGCACCTTTGTCAAAAGTCAGTTGTCCATATAGGTGTGTAGGCCTCTTTCTATTCCACTTATCTATTTGTCAGTCTTTAAGCCAATATCACATTGTCTTGATTAGTATAGTTTTGCAATTCTTGAAATCCGGCAGTATTAATCCTCCAAGTTTGTTCTT
Source organism: Homo sapiens (assembly GCF_000001405.40). NCBI lineage: Eukaryota > Metazoa > Chordata > Mammalia > Primates > Hominidae > Homo > Homo sapiens. The sequence continues at coordinate 11,285,583 of NC_000006.12, read as the reverse complement.
CTTTTATAAAGATTTTTGTTTTTGAGGATTTTTGTTTTGCTTTTTGTTTGTGCTGTTCTAGGTCCTTTGTGTTTCTATATGAAGTTCAGAATCGATTTGTTCATTTCTACAAAAAAAAGCCTACTGGGCTTTTGATTGGGGTGATATCAAATCTATAAATCAATTTAGGAAGAACTGACATCTTACCGATATAAGTCTTTGGATTCATGAACACATTATATCTCTCCATTTATTTATATCTTCTTTAATTTTTCTCAACAGTTGTTTTATGGTTTTTGGTGTACAGAGAACTGTACACCAAAATATCATTTCTCAGTATCAAAGTATTCAAAGTACATCACTTCTCAGTATCAGACTGTCAGGAAAATGATCAATTTCCCCTTCAAGACTGACAAGCTAAAGGCACCAGAGGCTTAGGCTTCTTACAGCAACACAATGCAGGGACTATAAAAAGCAAACGATAGCACCTATTTCCTAAAGTCACGAATGTTAAGTGAGTTTAACATTTATGCAGTTTAACGTAACACCGGTTGTGAAGGTAAACTGCCTGGGTTCAAATCCCAGCTGCACCACTTATAACTGAATCACCTTGGGAAATTCACAGTCTCTCTAGAACTCAGTTTTCTGATCAGCTTAATGCAGAAAATACTAGCACCTCCCTCATAAGGGTCTTCATAAGAATAAAATAAGCTCACTAAAGACTTAGAACTATTCTTGTCATATAAGAACTAATAAATATTAGTTATATTAATATATAAATCTTAGCAAGTTTTATATTATATTTATTATATTAATATATAAATATTAGCAATCATTGTTGATTTTATTATTAGTAGCACTTAACATAGTATTTGGAACAAATGAGTATCCAATAAAGGGTAGATATTATTGGCTTATGTAGCAAACTAGTGGTTAACACCTTCAGGTATGCTTCTCAACTGTTTTGAATAACCGAAGCTGAACTGAATTTGCTAGAAGTAGGTCTGTTTGTTCTTTATTTTTTATTTTTTATTTTTTTGAGACAGAGTCTTGCTCTGTCGCTCAGGCTGGAGTGCAGTGGCGCGATCTTATCTCATTGCAACATCCACCTCCCGGGTTCACGCCATTCTCCTGCCTCAGCCTCCCTAGTAGCTGGGACTACAGGCGCCCACCACCATGCCCAGCTACTTTTTTTTTTTTTTTTTTTTTTTTTAGTAGAGACGGGGTTTCACCGTGTTAGCCAGGATGGTCTTGATCTCCTGACCTCGTGATCTGCCTGCCTCGGCCTCCCAAAGTGCTGGGATTACAGGCGTGAGCCACTGACACTGCGCCCAGCCAGTAGGTTTGCTCTTAAAAGGCCTGACCCTGAACAGGAACATTCCATTCTTTGGATGCTGTATTTAAGATGCTATGTCAGACATCTCTATGCAGGATCTCACCATGATAGGCAAATCTCCACCACAATTAGCTTTACTACTGGCTTCCTTAATCTCTCTCTGGCCTATCTTGAGGTCTAAAACCCTGGAGGAGATTGTATGAATTATATTTCCTCATTGCTCCTGCAATCCTTAGAGAGATGACATTTTCATAAGGATGCATCTACACTAACTCTGGCCCTTTCTCTAGAGTAAAGAAGTGACCAGATCACCTTTCATACATACTAGACTGGTTTTATATTGTGATATGATTTCCAAACCCAGGAAGGCTCTGTGTGCCTCTCATCACTCACCACTACTACCATCCACCCTTGCACACACACACGTGAACCCTCCCTCCTGGCTTGCTGACACAATCTGTCTAATTGGAAATCCATTTCTGTGCTTGATGACTTTGTTCCCTATAAAAATACGAATTATCTTTGAAGGAAAAGCAATCATTAACCTTTGTGTGTAGGAGACAGTATTAAAGTAATAGAAAGAGAAAAGCACTCAAGATTCAAGAAAGAGGCATTCAAGATTATTAGATCCCAAATCTTTCCTCTCTTGCAAGAAGAGTTTGCCATGGTCATTAAAGCCATGGCACTGGGTGAGGTCATCATCCATGTGGTGACTATTGCTAGAGAGGAAAACTCTGGAATCTAATGGTCTCAAATGCCTTTTTCCCTCCTCTGTAACCAAGATTCTACTCAAGTTCCCTGATCTACAATAACAGGATGGCATTTGAGCCATTCATTCATTCATTCATGCATTCAGCAAATCCTGACCACCCTCTCACCATGGTCAGGTATTGTTTTAAGAGCAGGGGACACAGTAGTGAACAAAACAAAATCCCTACTCCCACAAAGCTTATATCCAAGCCAAAGAGACAGGTAATCAGCAAATAAACACAAAGGTTGTAATAGGTTGTCAAGGAGTAAGGGATTTCAAGAATAAAAATAAAATAGGGTAAAGAGATGGAGAATGCCAGGAATGCTAGTTTAGATAGAGTATTTAAGGATGTTCTTTCTGAGGCTGCAATGGTTGAATAGAGACTTGAAAACAGTGAGTGAGGCGACAGCTGGGCAGCTAGTAGAACATTCCAGGTACGGGACTGGCAAATGCCAAGGTCATAAGGTAGAAGTTTGCTCAAAGTGTTTGAGGAAAATAAAAGAAGCCTGTATGGTTGCAATAAAGAGATCGCTGGAGAGGCATCCAAAGGCCAAACCATATAGGGCATTGTAGGTGATCATAACGACTTTTCTGTATATTCCAAGCGAGATATGAAACCACTGGAGAGTTCCAGAAGGAAAGTGACAAGATCTGACCTTATTTAGAAAAATCACTTGGGCCGATATACCTAGAACAGATCACCAGGGAGCCAGAGGGAAAGCAGGACAGCCAGCGAGGAGCTGTTGCCGTAGCTCAGGAGAGAGATATTGGTGGCTTAGATGAACAAGGAAGGTAGTAGTCAAAGAGGCAAGAAACAGATATGTGATATATGTTGAAGGATGGGATGTAGGGTTTAGGTTCCATGCCATGAAAAAAGTAAAAAATGACTCTAAAATTGGTTATAGCAAAGGAGAATGCCATTTACTGAGATGTAGAACCATGGAGAAGGTTGGAGGAGGGACAGCAAGTCTGTTCTGGACATGTGAAGTTGGCATTGTCTATGAGATATCCAGGGTTCATGTTGAGCAGGCAGTTGTATACACACAGCTGGGCTTCAGAGGAAGAGTCAAGGTTAGAGAGACTTCCGTTTGTGGTCATCACTGTCTGCATGGCCATTAAAGCCATGGCACTGGCACCATGTGGTGACTTGCTAGAAAAGAGAAGAGGAGCATCCAAGAAAAGACAGTGAGAGGGAACAGCCAGGGTTGTCGGAGGAGTATCTGGAAAGCATGGTAACATGTAAGCCAAACTGTAAAATTGCTCCAAGGAGGGAGTGAGCAAAAGTCGCTGAGAGGTTCAGATGGCGTTTTTAATCTCTACTATTTATTACTGAATTAAAGGAGATGAACACCTGAAACCATGTATTAAAGTACCTTGTGCTACAGGTCAAGTACCAGAAATCTTGACCAAAAATAGCTTAAGCAATAAAAGCATTCATGATGTCACATAATATAATTCTCTGAGAAGAGTAATTCTGAGGGCCGGGCACAGTGGCTCATCCCTGTAATCCCAGCACTTTAGGAGGCCGAGGCAGGTGGATCACTTGAGGCCAGGAGATCTAGACAAGCCTGGCCAATATGGCAAAACCCTATCTATACAAAAATTAGCTGGTTGGGGTGGTGTGTGCCTGTAATCCCAGCTACCCAGGATGCTGAGGCACAAGAATTGTTTGAACCCAGGAGTTTGCAGTCAGCCGAGATCACATCACAGCACCCCAGCCTGGGTGACAGAGCGAGAGTCTGTCTCAAGATAAAAATAAAAATAAAAATATATAAAAAAAGAGTAATCCTGAGGTTGGTTATCTCATTGGCTCAAACATATCAAGGACCAAGATTTCTTCATCTTTGGGCTCTGCCACCCTGTTGGCCAGGTGTGGTGGCTCATGCCTGTAATCCCAGCACTTTGGGAAGCCAAGGCAGGAGGATCCCTTGAGTGCAGGAGTTTGAGACCAGCCTGGGCAACACAGGGAGACCCTGTCTCTAAAAAGATAAAAACAAAAGAAAAAACGGGGGGACTGCTGTAGCTCCAGATATCACATCTTCTCACACCAATGTCCAGAGGTGGAATAAAGGGAATAGCCTTTCATTGTGTCTCTTTCTAAGAGTGAAGAAACTTTACCAGCAACCTCCTGCATAATTATCTTTTCAACGAACCCAGAACTGTACCATGCACCCATGTCTACGACAATCCTGGAAGGCAGAATGATAGAAATCGATATCACACTTTAGGGCTGGGGAAGAGCCCAGGGCCTCTCAAAGGACATGGCTGCTCTGAGGAAGGTGGAAGAAGTCAGGGTTCTGTAAGCAAGAAAGAAGACTTAAAAGGGTAGTTCTTGGTTCAACAACTGATACCATCTGCAACACAAGCATTTGGGCATTCTAAACATGCCTATCTTTCTTCCACAGCAATGATACAAATATAGGAAGTTATGAATAAATATTCATTATCTCTCAGCCAAGAGGACAAGGTTTTCCTTTTCAGGCTAGTGTTTGAGCAACCATTGAATGCTTATGCATGTCGTAGAATCTGTGGGTTCAAAGAGGCCTTGAAGGTCCATGTATCCTCAATATAAAATCCCCATGACTTCTTGTATTAGAAAAGATCCCAGCAAGACATACAGGACACACTCAGATTATCCTAATGTAACAGGAACTCAGAGGATTTGATGCCAGGACTAGCTACAAGTGAGGCCAGGGCTTGGCAAACACCAAGGGCAATGCAGTGGCCAGGGCTAGTGTCAGGGAAACCTCCCTCACCATGCCTAGGAGGCAGAAGAGGGCTCCAAGCGTGGGGCCCCCAACAGGAGTCAAGACCATTGGTTGAGGGACATAGCCAAGCCACAGTGGCCTTGTACGGATGGGAGAGGCAGGGGAAAATGTCCAGACTTTACTTCCTTCTCCACTCAACTGGAAGCCAAAGGGCAGAGGAGCCGCCCAGTGGAATAACTGCAGGTCAGACTCTGGGGTGCAGAGCAGGGGAGAAGAGGGTGGAGATGGCACCGGAGGAGCAAATGGAAGACACCCAGTCCTCCCCATGGTGGGGGCCAGCCACTCCTCAGGCTGCTCATTTCCCCTGGCCAGTTCTGACTGCTGGAAAGTTCCCAGTCAATCCAGGGTCCATGCAAAACAGGTCTAACTCTTCACTTACATGAAAATACTTTAGATAGAGGACAACAGCCCACACACCTCACAGCCAAGTGGTGGAGTGAACAACCTTGAGATGTTAGTTTAGTTCCTTGGCCCCAGGGTACCCAGTGTCTGATGGAATTGGAAAGCTAAGGTCTCCATACATCTTCCCCTTGGCATGTTGTTTCTCAGCTGGAGGTAATTGCATCCCCCACAAGACACTGGCAATGAATAGAGACATTTTTCACTGTCAAAAATGGTGGAAGGCATGCAACTGACATCTAGAGGGTAGAGACCAGGGATGATGCAAAACATCCTATAATGCACAAGGCAGCCCCCACCATGAAGAATGATCTGGCCCCAAATGTCAATAGGCCAAGGATGAGAATCCTGCCCAGGCAGGAGCTGAGCCTGGACAAGGCTGTAGCTGCAAGACCTTTCCCGGGAGCCACCCACGATGTTTCTCTGGGACATCTTTGTTTTCAAGGTGAGCTAATGCTGAAATCTGTGTTTTCAAGGTAAGATAACGCAAAACAGTGCTAGAGTCCTTGAAGAACTGGAGGGAAGGAATAAGCAGCAATGGAGTTTCAGGGGTGCGGGGAGCGGGAGGAGATGAGAGCTGTTTGTTTGCAGTGGGAATGGCAATTGTTGAATTTCCCCTTGCCTGGCCCCGGCTTCTCAACTAATGCAAGGGGGAGCCCTGAGCCACCCTTGATATCCTGCGAGCCATCCTCACATCACAACATCAGCTTTCGCAGGCAAGCATGTAAACAAGAAGACCAGCCACGAGAAACATAAGAAAGAAATAAAAGTTGTTTGGTCTTCTGTCAGGAACAGATTGTTGGAATATTCCAACCCCAGTCCAAAAAGAACAACCAACAATAACAACCGGGAGACCGCAGCCCACGCTGAGACACACGAAGCCTTCGCTTTTCCCGGTGCCGCGGACCGTTTCCAGGAGAACGCGCCGCTGGCATCGTCCTCTGTTTTTGCCATGGCCTGGGGAGCTCTAGTGTTTGTCCAAGCACCCGCATTAGGGCCAAGAAATATGAAAATGTCATCTGTGAGCATGAATCAGGAGCAAGTGAACTTCTCATCTGCTGAAAGTCAGCAGGTGTGAGTATTCTGACAAACATCTGCAGTCCTGCAGCAATTCCTCATTTATTTGGCATCAACAGATCAGCTGGAAATATCATATTTTAAGTGAATCTTCCAGATAGCTCAAGTTCACCCTATTAAAGAATATCCTTAATGATGTAGCCTTTTAGGGTGAAGACAACTTTCCAAAAGGTATCTATTGCCTTTACTTCAATCAAGTATATTGACAATATTTCTATTTTTTAACTGGCTCAGAATAATGAGTATAATGTAATAATAAAAATAATAAGATGTCTGCAGACCTAGGGGTAGTTTGCCCAGACATTAAATGAACCCAGATCAGAACCTTTTTCCCCCTGCTTTTTTTTTTTAACTCTTTATCCTCCCTTTGTGTAGCTGTCAGCTGCTACTCTTTACTTACATCTCCCGACCTGTCCATCTGTAATCCCTGCCTTCTAGTAATTGCCGCTGTGGGCTAGGACAGTGGTTCTGAATGTTGGCAGCATGCTGAAATCTCCTGGGTCCCATCTCCAGAATTGTGTTTTCACTGGCCTAGGCAAGAGGACAGTTTGCAACTCCCCAGGTGACTGTGTTGAGTAGCCAAGGCTGAGAACCACTGAGATGGGAAATCCAGTATCTTATCTGTTAGAATTGTGCACAAAATAAGAGTTAATATGATCTGAGAGATTTTCCTACAAATAAGCTTTAGTGTATAAACCTTTGGCATGTATTTTGAGCTCTTCGAATCTGCAACTTTCTCATTCTTAGCTGTACCTCAGCAATGTGACCTCAAGCTAGGAGAGAGGTAGAAAGGACCAGTGGTTAAGTGTTTGGGGTCTAGAGCTCAATTACCTAGGTTCAAACCTCAACTCTGTGGCCTCGAGCAAGTATCTTAACCTTTTTGAACACCAGCCTCATCTATAAGTGTTGGAAGGACTCAGTGAGTCAGTGCACAGAGAGGGCTGGGGACAGGGTCTGGCACGTCACAACACTCAGCACAGTCAGCGTTACAGGCAGGGTCTGGCAGGGTACAGAATTCGCTTCAGATGAACAAGGAGGAGAGGCAGAGGTGCGAACTGGGAAAAGAGCGCAATTCAAGGCTACTGTGGTTCCCAGAGGCTGGCGAGTGAGAAGCTTGACTAGCCTGGACAGGAAGCGGGAGGGGAAGAAGATGTGTTATGAGATCCCAGGGAAAGCTGAGGCTGTGGAGAGAAGCAGGGAGGCAGCAGAGAGGAAGCACCCGACTCCCATTCTCCCTCCAGCCTCCGACCTCTTGCAGGAGCCTCCCTCCCGCTGGCTGGATCCAGTGAGAAGCCAGGGAGTGGAAAAGAAGTGGCCCTCAGGCTCAGCTTCTCAAGAGGCAAGGCAAGGCAAAGGAAGAAAGAGAATGAATCTGGGTGGGTGGGAGGCAGGCAAATGGAGAAGAACCAGCCGAGTTAGCTATTACTAATCATTCCGTAGCTGGGAAGTCACCAAAGAAAGTCCCTATTGCCCTAGAGTGGGTGAACGCTACACAACATCCGCTGTAGAATCAGAAAGAGAATTGCCCCTCAAGTTCCCACATGCTGGAAGAAATGTGCCTCCACCACAGACCTTTAGCACCAAACTGAGATGGTTCAACACTGCTATGGGCAAAAGTCCAATTTTTTAAGATGTCCTAGCCTCCTTGAGAATCTCAGGGCTGAGGGCAACGTGCCTCATCCCTGTGGACTAGTTCGCGCTGCTCTCTGAGCCTTTTCTCACCAGCTGGCCTCTGTCTCTTTTCCACCCCCTGCCCATGCCTGTCAGAACTCAGACCTCCTAGCTCACTTCCTTTGCTAATTGAAACACATTCCTGAGCCCCATTTGTAACATGCTTTGGAATTTCTTCCTCCACCACTTCCCCACCCCCAAACGCCACCTCTCTCTTCTCACTCATGAATGTTGACCTTTTGTCTAATAAAAGCTTCATTCTTCCAACCTCCCACTATTGACTTAAGTAGCCATTCTTGGCTGTGTTTACATTTGCTCTCCAAAACCATAGTCTCACTACCTATCAAGTACTCAGTGGTGTAAGTAGAGGCAGAAACCCTTTTCTTCCAGCAGCTTCCATTTTAAGTGTAAGGACAAGAGACATTGCTCAGAGTGGCTGGTGGCTTTCCCAGTGGATGTCTTTGCAGCGTGATAGTTCCGCCCCATGCTTTGCCACTGCACCATATTACAAATGAAAATTAGTCACTTCCAGATGCACCCCCCGGGCATCAGAGCCCTCTTGTACTGTGCTGGTACACTTGCTTCGCTGCCTTGGAAACTCTGCAGTGACTCTATTTTCATTTCCATCACTAGTTTGTTTGTTTGTTTGTTTGTTTGTTTCCAGATCCTGTAACCAAAGAGCTATTCCTTTGCCAGGATCTAATTGAACTATTCATCCTTGTTCCTCCATTATGTTCCTTCCAAATTCCTTTGAATCCCTCTTTCCCATCACATATGCATTATGCTATAATAATGGCCACTATTTGGCTCTGTTTTCCCTTGGAAGCCTGGCACATGTTACTACTGTGCTCTCCTGAGTAAAGAGAGAAGGTGGAACCAATCCTGTTCCCCTCTGGTACTCAGATGCCCTTCTGCAAAAGCATCAGAATCAGGGAACCAGGACCTCCAGAAAGAGCTGGGTTTGAAGTTAAAAAAAATCCTAATGAGGTTTGACTTGGCAGAATTTTAAGCACTGATTTGGGTTCAGGTGGGCCAAAAGCGTGAGTAGCAGCAACAGCAGCACCCTCTGTGTACCCACTCCCTGCAAACCCCTGTTCTAGGCCCTAGGAATTCCATCAATCCCTACCCTCAAGGAACTTACATTTTAGATAAGGAGAGAAGACTCAGCATGTGTGCGCGTGCGCACACACACGTGCACACACACATGCACGCACACACACACGTGCACAGGTGCACACACACGCATGCACACATACATGCACACACACACAGAGCCAATAATGCAGGCTAGCATAGAATGAATGCCAATTAAGTAGTAGCTAAATAATAATAATTAACTTGCATTTAAAAATCTGTAACACAGGCATTTCTCTTAATCAAGACTCATTTTCTCCCAGGTAATTTCCATTTTAATTGGTATTGGTGGAGGTTTTAATTAGATTTCTTAATCTATCTCTGTTTCTGTTTGCACAACTGAAAGATGTCTCCCACTTCCAAATCTAGCGTATTGTTTGAAATTTTGAATTTATGACATCTCCACAAATTTACTATAGATTGATCCATCAGTATCTAATGATGTCTTGAGATGATTTCTTATGATTAAAACACTTTAAAGTAGTGATTATCTAAAGTAGAATCTAACTTCCCGTTTGAGGAGGTTGAAACATGTGCTTCCTATCTTCGGTTCTCATTTTTTTTAATGTGGGTGCTGCTTTAGCAAAGCCAATAACTACAAGAACATCCTCCCCCAGTTTGAGTAGATGTGTCACCAGAAAAGCAAAAGTCCAATGCTGAGTGATTTGAGTGGCTTGGAAGAATTTCCCAGCTTGCAGCTTATACTGAACGAGCATTAATACAAGTAAACCATTAACTCATCAGTCACACCTGCTCTGTTTGCTCTGTGCTTGTTTCTATCCTAGCACCCTTGACAAAGTGCTGAGCTTGCTGCCTGTGGGCATGTCGGCCTCCTTGCTAGACCATTCACTAGCTGAGAACATGCAGGAGGTCTTTTAAAAAAAATTTTGTATATATATATATGTGTGTGTGTGTGTGTGTGTATGTATGTATTTTAATTGACAAATAAGAAATGCGTATATTTTATGATGTACAGCATGATCTTTTGAATGTTTGTGCAATGGCTAAATCAAGCTAATTAACATATGCATTAGCTGACATATATCATTTTTTTAGGGTAAAAATATTTAAAATCCACTCTCTTAGCAATTTTCGAGTATGCAATACTTTACTATTAACTATAGTCACCATGACACACAATAGATTCTCTGAACTTACTCCTCCTAACTGAAATTTTGTATCCTTTTACTAACATTTCCTCAATCCCTGTACCTCCTCTCCCCAACCTTAGCCTCTCATAACCACCTTTCTACTCTCTACTTCTATGAGTTCCACTTTTTTACAGCCTGCAAGTAAGTGAGATCGTGTTGTATTTGTCTTTCTGTGTCTGGTTTATTCCCCTGAGCAAAATGTCCTCCAGGTTCACCCATGTTGTCACAAATGCCAAGATGGCCTTTTTTGAGGATATGTAGTATTCTACTATCTATATGTCCTGCGTTTTCTTTATTCATCTACATTTATTCATTTATCCATTGGACACTTAGGTTGATTCCATAACTTGGCTCTTGTCAATGCTGCTACAATGAATATGGGGGTGCAGAGAGCTCTTTGACACACTGATTTCATTTCTTTAGATTTGTACCTAGAAGTGTGTATATATCTAGACCAGAATGGAATTGCTGGGTCATATGGTAGTCCTATTTTTAATTTTTTGAGGAATTTCCCTACTGTTTTTCATAAGGACTGTACTAGTGTACATTTTCCCCAGCCGTGTGTAAGGGTTCTTTTATTCACATCTTCACCAACACACATCATTGGTTTTTTCATGCTTTATTTTTTGGTAATAGCAATTCTAACAGGTCTGAGGTCATATATTATTGTGATGCAGTAGGTATTATTCAGCTTGGTACAGTGAGTACAGCAGAGAGTACAGTTCCCAACAGAGAGTACAGTGCTCTGTGCCCAGCAGGCCCAGAAGTGGATTAACGAGTTGATTGAATAACTGATTAGTGGGAAATAAGGAAAGCATTAATACTCCCAGAGAGCAAGGATAGACCTAGGGGTGCTTGTGAGAAACCAAGGTTGATCTACAGCATTCACAGCCTGGTGAAAGGGGCCCAGAGTGTGGCACCAGCTGTAGCCCTGTCTGCACTGAGGGCCAGGTGAGTGAGATGTGACTGGGTACCCCTTCCAGGTCCAGGGAAGAATCTGAAGAGTGGGGCCCACATCACCCTTCAGAACATAAGACATGGACACTCCCTGATCACAGGGACAGCCCAGGTCATTTAGCCCTATCCCATACCCCTTTATAACAAAATACTCTATTATTACTTCCGTAAAACTTGGAAATTGAGATATGTGCAAATGAGGGTATGTTCCAAAAAGCTCCTAACAAATACTAACTCCAATTCTCATCTGGTTCTTGGGCTTGACATAGAGAGGGAGAGAGAGTGGAAAAAGGATTTGGTCTCAAAACAACTTTTGGATTTTGCCTGGAAACAGTATCTCGTAGCATGTTCATTGCAGCCTTTGGCTGAATTCTTTCATTAGAAAGAGGAAAAGCACATTTGGATGTTGACGTGACATTCAGGTAGGCAACATTTCTTTGCTCGACTTGGGAAAATGCTAATGAAGAAGAAACCAATCCTATAAAAAGAGGTCAGAGTACGTCAAAGTACCTGTCCACCCCCATAGTCGTTTTCCTTAATCTTGACATCTGAATCACTTGCTGTCGGGTGAACACAGGAATTTTCCAGGGAACAATCTCATATTGAGTGAGGCTCTACTCACGGTTGCCCTACATGTCATGGGTGTCCATTTCGGCCTTCCATTGTATGAACAATGCCCAGGGTAATTCGGATCTTGATAACATTGACTCACAACCTCAAATAAATGAAGTCATATCAAGCCACTGGCAAGACGGAATCTGCCGGCCGGAAAGGGAGTAGAAGGCTAGACCACAGGCGGGGACTGTGTGGAGGGCAACACAGGTGAACGCACACAGATAGGCGCAGTCCCCGGCCGTTCGCACCTCAGCATCGGTGGCACTTGTCATGATTCAGGTTGCCCTTGCTTTCAGCAAATTCAACCCTTTTGAATGCTTGTTTTTATAGAAACTAAATTAGAGAGGGATTATTCATTTACAAACAAATTGTTCATTTTAACCAGAGTCTTAAGTAACTGATACCTCTGTGCTAGTTATAATTTTTTTAATCTCAACTTGGATACACATTTTCAAGAATATATCTATTAGGTAAAGTACACTCACATAAGGAAAAGTAGATGGTTAATTGCCTGGCTATTTAATTCCCAATATCATAATCTTGGACACTCCTTTCAATAAACCTTCACCTAGCCAATTCCCAAGAAATCACTTCCTCAAGTGAGTTAAACTGGGCAACGGTTAAGCAATAGGAGTGTCTTTTTTTCAGATGCCAGCACAGAGCCACTTGTCCCTGTTAATCACGAAGACTGGAAAACAAGCAGAGCTATGTGACGGATATATTCACCAGACCCTATCTCTGTGGGAGGCGGTGTTTTGGCACAGACAGGCTGATGATTTCAGGGTCAAGAGGGAAGTGATTAATCAAACTGGGAAGAAGACAGAGGAAAATCCAGCAAACAGCTATGAAGAACATATAAAAACAACAACCACCCAATATCTGTATGGGTAAACAACGCTCCGTTTGCACACTGGAGAATGCAATGAAGTGTGACCAGGATGAAGCCGAAAACAAAGAAATGATGCTTCCAACTGCGGCTCCCAGGCATGGCTTTTCTTTCTGCACCTTGGAGACTCCTCTGCAGCTCCATTCTCATCCCACACCTCCAGGGTCTGTGCACACCAAGGCAGGTGGAAGGGGAGGCAAGGAACTGAGCAATCTGAGGTTAGGTGGGGGAAAGGAAACACACCTTCTACTATTAGTGCAAAACGAGAATTTTCCCAGTTACCGATCTTGAAATAAATTCATCAGATGATAGCGTTCTCCTTCTTCTTTTGCCCCTTCTTTTGCTCACACATCCTACCTTAATTTGAAACATTGCAATGAAAGAGAAATGTAAAAAGCAAATCTAGACCAAGCTGCGTTCAAATGTGCATGTAGCCAGAAACCTTAAAAGTAGAAGGTGATCATTTTGTTTTGTTTGAATTTTTTAAAAAGTATAACATCTGTCAGGTACTGACTGTGAATTCTACATCTTGTACTGAGTCGCCCCTCTCTTCTATGGAACATTAGAAAGCAAGAGGAACTACCATTTGTGATAGACGAAGACAGATTTGCAGGTGGAGGGAGTGACAAGACCTGATTTGTTTTCTGCACATAATGAGTAATCCTTCAGACACAGAGATCCTCATCTGCAGCACGAGAGAAAAGGTAAACCAAGTCCCCAGGCTCAGCACCCATGGAA